>NC_000001.11:248456848-248608364 GCF_000001405.40 Homo sapiens
TATCTGCCAGCTTGTTAACCCTAATAATGACCTGGGGACAAAGGTCCCTTCAGAGCAACATGCTGATAAAAGCCATGTTCATTTGCTGTTGGATGCTAGTTAGGCTGGTCTAGCCAAGGACCTGATGACCCACATTGAGGGGTAATCAGATTCCCTGTGGGGTCTTTCTGCAGGTAAGGGATATGGATATAAAATTAACTTGCTTCTACAGACTTGTTTTATACAATAAACATCTATATGCAATATAAAATTGTAATAGAAGAAAGCATAAAGTCTACTTATTAAATACCTTATTAACTGCTTTATTCAATGCTCAGGAAGATATCAGGCAAAAAGGAATGATCAGAGAAACTGAAGATAATTAGATAATTATTTAGCGTAAAGAAAACAAAATGCAGACCTCTGTATCCACAAAAATTAAAAATCTGAAAAAGTGACAGAACATCCCTGTCAAGTTGGACAACTGACTTTAAATGAAGTGAAGTTCTGCTAAAGAATTCTGACAATTCTGTGAAAACAAAATGACTGAAATGTCAGGTCCTGACTCTACAAAGAAGTTCCATACATAAAGCAATTGTATTCATAGACAACTTTATGGCATCGATAGGTTATTTAGTTAAAACAACAGGCTGATTCACACACAAATGATAAAAACCAGATGCATTTTTAAGCTTCTTTTTCAGCTGTGATTGTACTGAGGATGGATTTCTTAAACCTGGGTGACTCCCGTGACCATGTCACACACTTAGCAGCATTTCACTGTGTGCTTCCTTCTAAATCCCAGGTAATAAAGGCCAGGAAAATACTTGGTTTGTTTTGACTACATTCCTTTGGTTTATACAACTAGCAAAGAATATAAAATGGTAAATACCTGTAGCTTGAACTCTGGTTGTTTCACATTGTATTTTTTATGAGCACTTTAAGCTTATTTGGTTTTATTAAATCATCACATACCTAAAAACAAGAATTGTTAGGCATCGCAAGCACTTAAAATTTTTCCTAATACAGAATTTGCCCTTAATAAATACTAGTGTAATAAATGAATGAAAAACTTTCATTTTAGAAGGCTTAGTACCTTTTAAAAATCTTTAAAAGAAAGTTTCCTTGGCATCTCAGGTTTGAAGAGACGACGTGGAAACTGAAGATTAACAAAGTTAGACTTTTATAGGCTCACATAGAACTGCATGTCAAGGGTGATGCTAGAAGCAAAAAAACACCAAAAAACTAAAATTATTTCCAGCTTCACTGATAAGTGGTTTAACTATTTTAAAATTGGAGCTTATGTAAAAAAGTCATTGGCTTTTGCTAGATTCTTCATATATTCCTTCTTTGAAGCAAACAGGAGGTAAGTCCCATTAAGGGGCATTTCTCAAGGGTAGAAGCAGAAAACACTTTCATGACTGAAAATTTAAATGCAAAGTTTAGGATTACATATGTCAGTTGATGTTATCAAAATTGTTCTTTCCCTGGATTTCCAAAGTGTTTAATTGAAATGACCAGTGATGTTAATGAAGTATTCTATAAACTTGGAAAAATTAAAATCAGAAAACATGTTTGAACATAGTTAAAACCATATCTTTGGGCCTCAGCTTCTGAATAGCTGAAGGTTTAATGAAGAGAACTGCTTTTCTGTCTCCCTGTATAAACTGGGGAAACTACTTCAAAGGGAGAAAGGATAATATAGTCTTGGCCCAAGGCAGGGATGCTTGCAAATAATGGCTTTGTGTAATTTGAAAGATTGTAAAAATCTTTACCTTTTTTGATTATCTTTGAAATGAAATCCCTTAATACATACACAGCATGTATTATAATCTTGTTCTTAGAAATAGAGAATACAGTTGTAAGGAGATGATTATATAGGTTGAAAATATGCCACCTTTTCACTTAAGAATACAATGAACCTGCTATAGGATGAAGAATGAACATAGATCACCTCACATTCCACTGGTCACTTAGAATTCTATTATGTACTAAAACCTAAATTATTTAGTACGTGTCCAGTTAGCAGACGCTTAGGTTACTTCCACTTTCTTATTGCAAATAACACCGGAATGCACTTTTTTAATAAATTGCCCACTCATCTGATTATTTCCATACTACGCTTCCCTAGGAGCGGAAGCTTGTACGTATTTTTTAAACTCCTGGCATTGACTCAGTGCACGCTCTCAAACCAGAAAACAAGACAGAAAACCCATTGTAATTCCCACCAGCAGTTTGAGATTCCCCCCTTTATCCTCGATGTTGATACAACCCAGCTCTCATGTAGAAGTTCAAGTTGAATAAGATTGACTGAAACTCTATTTCTGCACTGTGGCCCTTCTACATTGCTATCCTATTGAGGAAGCTTCGTGGGCTCATGCTCTAGGTAAGAATAAAATTAAGTTCAAGCCCTCTGCCTCTGGCAATCCAAGGCCCAGCTGAGTAGATCTGCATGTCATTGCATTTCATCGCCTTGCAAGAGTAAGAAGAATGTGACCCTAACTGTGCAGTGATAGACACGTATTAAGAGGGAGGGATGAGTTGTTTTCATGACTCCACCTAAGAGAGGCCTGAAAAGACCGCTTGATTGGCAAGAGGCCAAAAACAGCGTTAATTTTCCAAAGATGTTTAGTTCAATAACGAAGTCTAGATAATCTGGCTCAAGTCGTGAATAATCATTTCAGAAATGGTCCCTCAACTGTCCCCAATCCACAGCAGGGAGACTCTCCTGTAACTTAGTTCCCCCAAACTCCCAACTTTAGGGAACTTCTAAGAAAGTGATCTAGTGTGTTACAACAAAAGTAAACATCACCATAAGAATATAAAGTCTGACTACACAGTTGGCCCTTCAAATTATCTTTTAAAAAAATCTGTCCATTAGAGGTCTTCAGTACCTAGGAAAATATAGGATACGAGGACAATTATGTTGAAAAATTATCATAATTTAACTCATTGTTTCATTGCTTTGGCTAGGACTTTCAGTACCATGTTAAATAGAACTGGTGACAATGGACATCCTCACTTTGTACCAGACCATAGGAGAAACATTTTCATTTTTTATTAACTGTGGGCTTTTCTTATATGATGTGTTGAACTAAGTTCCTTCTATACCTGTTTTTCAGAGTTTTTACATGAATTGTCAAATGTTTTTGCTGCAAATTTTTTTATTCTCTTAATGTGTTATATCACACTGATTGATTTGCCTATGTTGAAGCATTCTTGCATCCCAGAGATACATTTCAGTTGGCTATGGTTTATTCTCTTTTTAATGGGCTGTTGAATTTGGTTTGTTAGTATTTTGTTGAAGATTTTTACACCTATGTTTATCAGTGATATTGACCTGCAGTTTTATTTGCTTGTGATTATCTTTGTCTGGCTTTGATATAAGTGTATGATGGCCTCATAAAATGAGTTTGGGGCGTTCTCTCCTGGTTTTTGAAAGAGTTTAAGAAGGATTGCTATTCTTCTTTGAATGTTTAGAATTCATCCACGAAGCCATTTGGTTCTGGTCTTTTCTCTGGGAATCTTTTGTTTACTAATTTGTTCTTATTGGTCTGTTCAGGCTTCCTATTTCCTCTTTAGTTTTGGTAGGTTGTATAAATCAAGAAGTTTGATTTCTTATAGATTATCTAATTTATAAGTGCATAATTTTCATAATAGTCTTTTATGATCCTTTTCATTTTGAGGCATTTGTTCTAATGACTCCTCCTATTTCTCATTTTAGTTTAGGATACTTTTTTTCTTAGTCTAGCTAAGGTTTATCACCTTTTAATTTTTAAATAGTTTTGCTGATTTTTCTAGTTTTTCCAGTCTCCTATTTCTACTTTAATATTTTATTCTCTATGATAACTTTGGACTTAGGCTTTCTGTTTCTAGTTTCTTGAGGTAAAAAGTTGGTTAATTTGAATTTTTTCTTTCATGTGGCTATTCGTTGCAATCAACTTTTCTCTTAGTACTGGATTTGGTGCATGTCATAAGTTTTAGTATATTGTATTTTTTGTTTGTCTTGAGATTTTAATTCTCCTTTGATTTTTCCTTTTGCCCAGTCATTGCTCAATTTAATGGTATGTATGTTAACACACCAATATGTGATAGAGCACATAAACCTCCAAATTACTAAAGTTATAAAAGATTTATACAACATACTTAATGGCAACAAAACTTGTAGATATGAATGCTCACAACAATAAGAAAAGTCCACGTTATTTTCTAGTGCACATGGGATTCTCACCAAAATCAATCACAGGTGGGCCTTTGACAGAATAATATAAACACGACATAAAACGTGTAGGATGCAGCTAAACCAGTGGTTACAGAAAAATTTGTCCCCATAGATCATTAAGAAGAAAGGAAGCCTAAATATTGACTAATCTCCTAATTCAAGAAGATAGAATAAAAAAATTCAAATTATATCTATAAAATGTGAAAAAAGGATGAAGTAGACACCATCTATATATAAATGTGTGTAGAAATCATAGATTAATATTCATGTTTCTGATTTCAGTTCCAGATCAAAATGTCTATAATCATTTTTCCACTTTCATGTTCTTTTTGCATTATTTTAAAAAATATTTTTAATTGAAATATTAAAATACATATTTTATGGGGTACAATGTGATATTTTGATACATGTATATTATTTGTAATGATGGAATTAACCTAAAGAACATATCACCAATTTTCATGGTGAGACATTTAAAATGTACCCACTTAGCAATTTTGATATATACAACACATATATTACATATATAATTATAATTTTGTATTATATATAATATACATTATACACATAAACATGTATATATGATATATACAATTATAATATTTTGATACATACAACACAATATCCAACTTTGATACAAATGAACAAGATTTTCTTCTATTTAAAGGCTGAATTACATTTCACTGTGGATATATGTCTTGTTTTCTATATCTATTCACCCATTGATGGATACTTAGGTTGATTCCATATCTTGGCTATTGTGAATAATGTTGCAATGAACATGGGAGTGCAGATATCTCTTTGACATACCCATTTAAATTGGATACATCCTTATTAATGGAATTCCTGAATCATAAGGGGTTCATACTATTAAGGCCTGCATCAAAAAGTCTGAAAGAGCACAAATAGGCAATCTAAGGTCACACCTCAAGGAACTAGAAAAACAAGAACAAACCAAACCCAAACCCAGCAGAAGAAAAGAAATAGCAAAAATCAGCGCAGAACTAAATGAAATTGAAACAAAAAATACAAAAGCTACATGAAACAATGTTGGTTCTTTGAAAAAAATAAGTAAAATTGATACTGTTAGCAAGATTAATCAGGAGAATAGTCAAATAAGCTCAACTAGAAATGAAACAGGTGATATGACAACCAATATCACAGAAATACAAAAGCTTATTGGTGGCTACTATGAACACCTTTATGCGTGTAAAATAGAAAACCTACAGATGATTTAATTTCTGTAAATATACAATGCTCCTAGATTAAACCAGGAAGAAATAGAAACTTTGAAGAGACCAGTAACAAGCAGCAAGATTGGAATGGTAATTAAAAAATGCCAACAAAAAAAGTCTGGGGCCAGATGGATTCACAGCTGAATTAATTGGCATCAATCCTACTGACACTATTCCACAAGATAGAGAGGGAAACCTTCCTAGATCATTCTATGAAGTCAGTATTGCCCTAATACCAAACCCAGGAAAGGACATAACAAAACCATAGACCAATATCCCTGATGAACATACATGCAAAAATTCTCAACAAAATACTATCTAACAGAATCCAACAGCATATCAAAAAGATAAATCATCATGATCAAGTGGGTTTCATAACAGGGATTCAGGGATGGTTTAACATATACAAGTCAATACATGTGATACATCACATAACCATGTGACTTGTGTTTTTAATTGTGTTTATCTCAATAGTTGCAGAAAAAGCATTTGACAAAATCCATCCCTTTATGATTAAAACCCTCAGCACAATCAGCATACAAGGGACATGCTGTAAGGTAATAAAAGTCACCTATGACAAACCCACAGCAAACATTATTCTGAATGGGGAAAAGTTGAAGGCATTCCCTGTGAGAACTGGAACAAGACAAGGATGCCCATTTTTGCCACTTATATTCAATATAGTTCTGGAAGTCCTAGCCAGAGCAATCAGACAAGAGAAAGAAGTAAAGGGCATCCAAATCAGTAAAGAGGAAGTTATGCTATCGGTTTGCTGATAATATGATCGTATACCAAGAAAACCCTAAAGACTCATCCAAAAAGCTCCTGGAACTGGTAAATGAAGTCAGCAAAGTTTCAGAATACAAAATTAATGTACACGACTCAGTAGCTCTGTTAATACAGCAATAGCTACCAAGCTGAGATTCAAATCAAGAGCTCAACCCAATTTACAATAGCTGCAAAATAAAATACTTAGGAATACCTAACCAAGGAGGTAAAAGACCTCTATGAGGAAAACTACAAATCACTGCTGAAAGAGATCGTAGATGACACAAATAAATTGAAACACATCCCATGCTCGTGGGTAGGTAGAATCAATAATTGAAAATGACCATATTGCCAAAGCAATGGACAAATTCAATGCACTTCCCATCAATACACCACCATCATTCTTCACAGAACAACAATCCTAAAATTCATATGGAACCAAAAAGCCCACATAGCCAAAGCAAGACTAGGAAAAAAAGAACGAAACCAGAGGCATCACATTACTCGACTTCAAACTATACTATAAGGCCATAGTCACCAAAATAGCTTGGTACTGGCATAAAAATCAGTATATAGACCAATGGAACAGTATAGAGAACCCAGAAATAAAACCAAATACTATAGCCAACTGATCTTCAACAAAGCAAACAAAAACATAAAAGTGGGGGAAAGGACACCCTATTCAACAAATGGTGCTGAGAAAATTGGCAAGCCACATGTAAAGAATGAAACTGGAACCTCATCTGTAACCTTATAGAAAAAACAACTCAAGATAGATCAGACTTAAACCTAAGACCTGAAATTATTAAAATTCTAGAAGATAACATCAGAAAATGTTATCTTGTAGACATTGGCTTAGGCAAAGACTTCATGACCAAGAACCCAAAAGCAAATGCAATAAAAACAAAAATAAATGAGACTTAATTAAACTAAAAGGCTTGTGCACAGCAAAAGACATAATCATCAGAGTAAACAGACAACCCATGGAGTGGGAGAAAATCTTCAGTCTCTACATCCAACAAAGGACTAATATCTAGAATCTACAAGAAACTCAAATCAGCAAGAACAAAACAAAGCCATTAAAAAGTGGGCTAAGGACACAAATAGACAATTCTCAAGAGAAAATATACAAATGGCCAACAAACATGAAAAAAATGCTCAACATCACTAATTATCAGGGAAATGAAATTCAAAACCACAATGCAATACCATCTCACTCCTGCAAGAATGGCCATAATCAAAAAATCTTTAAAAAATAGACATTGGTATGGATGTGCTGAAAAGAGAACACTTTTATACTGCTGGTGCAAATGTAAACTTGTACAACCACTATGGAAAAGTCTGGAGATTCCTTAAAGATCTAAAAGTATATCTACCATTTGATCCAGCAATCCCACTACTGGGTATCTACCCAAAGGAAAATAAATCATTACACGAAAAAGATACTTGCACACATGTTCACAGCACCACACTTCACAATTGCAAAAATATGGAAGCAGCCCAAATGATCATCAATCAATGAGTAGATAAAATCATATATATTCATATATTCACACATATACTCATATATTCATATATATTCATATATTCACACATATACTCATATATTCATATATACTCATATATTCATATATACTCATATTCATATATACTCATATATTCATATATACTCATATATCTTCATATGTATATAGATGAATGCTACTTAACCATGAAAAGGAATGAAATAATGGCATTTGCAGCAAACTGGATGGAATTAGAGACCGTTATTCTAAGTGAAGCAACTCAGGAATGAAAAACCAAACATTGTATGTTCTCACTCACACGTGGGAGGTAAGCTATGAGGATGCAAAGGGATAATAATGATACAATAGACTTTGGGGACTTGGGGGAAAGGGTGGAAGCAGGTGAGGGATAAAAGACTACACATCAGGTACAGTGTACACTACTTGGGTGATGAGTGCACCAAATTCTCAAATTGCCATGAAAGAACTTATTAATGTAACCAAACACCACCGGTTCCCCAAAAACCTATTGATATAAAAAATATAAATAAATATCATATATATATCATCCAGGGGCAGTAGCTTATGCCTATAATCCCAACACTTTGGAAGGCTGAGGTGGAAGGATTGCTTTAGCCTGGGTATTTGAGACCAGCCTGGGTAACATAGTGAGACCTCATCTCTCCAAAAATTAAATTTTAAAAAATCAGGGAGGCATAGTGGCACGTGTCTATAGTCCTAGCTACTCAGGAGGCTGAGGTGAGAGGATCGCTTGAGCCCGGGAGATTGAAGCTGCAGTGAGCCACAATTGCGAAACTGCACTCCAGCCTGGGTTGACAAAGCAAGACCCTGACTCAAAAACAGGGCGGTATATATTTTACAGATACATCAAAGTCTTATCTGTGCTCTCTTGAATTCCCTCTCTTAGTGTCCTCAGACCAATTTTTTTAAACAGGTGTGTATCTTCCCTATCAATTTTTAATATTTTTATTGCAGATATGTGTCCAAATGTAATATTTTAGTAGGATGTATTTGTTAAATGGTAACACACTGATCATTCTGCAACATATTTTCCTTCAACTTTACTAATTGAAATGTTCACAATAAATTGGTATTAATATTGATCATGTGTGCATTTTCTTTATATTAATATTTAGGTTTACCACTTTTTCATGCTTTATAATGTAAGAGTATCTATCCTTGTATAATCTCCTTGGAAGTCTTAGGTAGTGAAGAAAGAACATCTTCAATGTTATGAGATATTACTGAATTCATCTCTAAAGGAGTTGCACTAATCTCTCTAACCATCATTTTTCCTTCTTCATTTATTTAACAAATAATCAATTTTTACTATTATGTTGGTGCAAAAGTGATATATGCCAGGCATAGTGCTAATGTTAGAAAACAACAGAGAAGAAAATAAATATATTTTGGTCTCCTTGTGCAATAACAAAAACCCAAACAGTGAATAGGTAAAACATACGATGTGGTCATGCCAGATGATGATATGTTATGAACATAAAATAGGGAACACTGTTGCAAATTTTAAATATAATTATGGATCAGTCAGAATGCACAAGGTAATGCCATAGTAACATCTCAAGCTGCATAAAAACATTGTTTATGTGATGTTCACATTGTAAATCTGTCAGATGGTACTCGGGGTCCACTCATCAAAAGTCCCTCAAGGACCTAAGATGATGGATAACTTTGTTGACCATTTTGTCATTTTATGTTCTAGAATATGTTTATATTTGTGGCTATACATGAAGCTTGTACAACTATTGAAGTATATCCATAAAAAAAATAAGTGTACAGCTCATTAAGGATTTCATAGCAGTACCTAAAATGTATCTAGAATTTTGCAATTTTACATATTAATAACCCTCCACCTGCCATTTTTAAATGCTTATTTAGATTTCTAACTTTCATACCTATACAGCATTTGGATAGCCCATTAATTTTTAATTATACATATTCATGTGGAATTTTCATTGAAACTTAGGAATAATTAAAATACAAGAGTGAGTTGAAGCTTGTGTGAAGAGTACAAAAGAAGGATTGTGATGTCTGAGGTGTGAGAGTTCTCACTGATTGAGTAGAGCACGCCTTCATAAAGAAATTGTCATATTATCTGAGCATTTATGACTGGTAGTTTATATAGAAATGCATTTGGTAAATTCACAGCAAAGAAGCAGGATACGAGAAGTTATGAAGGAATATGAAAGTGTGTGGTTTAAAGATACTCTGAGATATTGGAAGAAGCAATGTTGGAAGACAGGGTGGGTACCAGCCAAGGACAGAATATGCTCATTCTGTCTCCTGGTGTCAGTATCTGCTTCTGCAGTTGGGCTTATGAGTTGGATTCTGCATCTGAGGATTCAACCAATCATGGACTTAACCAATCATGGATTGAAAATATAATTAGGCTTATCATGGTCACATTGGTACAGACTTTTCTAAATTTTATTTTTGTTGTGACATAGGTGTATACATTTATGGGGTACATGAGATGTTTTGATACAGGAATGCAATGCATAATAAATGCATGATGAAAAATGGAGTATCCTCTCAAGCATTTATCTTTTGTGTTATAATTTTATTATACCCTTTTAGTTATTTTTAAGTGTACAATTAAATTGTTATTGACGATGTCAGTCTATTATGCTAGTACTTATTCATTCTAACAAATTTGTTGTATCCATTAACCATCCCCACCTACCCCTTCACCACCCCCAGTACCCTTCCCAGTATCTGCTAAGCATATTTCTAATTTATATCTCCATGAGTCCAGTTGTTTCGATTTTAAGGTGCCAGAAATAACTGAGAACATGCAATGTTTGTCTTTCTGTGCCTGGCTTATTTGACTTAGCATAATGGCCTCCAGTTCCATCTATGTTGTTGCAAATGACAGGATCTCATTATGTTTTGTGGCTATATAGTACCTATCATGTATAAGTACCACATTTTCTTTACCCATTCATCTGTTGATGGACACATAGGTTGCTTCCAAATTTTAGCTATTGTGAACAGAGCTGCAACAAACATGGAAGTGTAGATGTCTTTTCAGTATATTGATTTCTTTTCTTTTGGGTATATACCCAGCAGCGGGATTGCTGGATGATACGTTAGCTCTATTCTTAGTTTTTTCGAGGAACCTCCAAACTGTTCTCTGTTGCACCTTTAAATACAACTTTAAATGCAACTTCACATTCCCACAGAGTTTATGAGGGTTCCCTTTTCTCCATGTCCTCACCAGCATTTATTTTTGCATGTCTTTTGTATAAGAGCCATTTTAATTGGGATGAGATGGTATCTCATTGTAGCTTTGATCAGCATTTCTCTGATCAATGTTGAGCACTTTTTATGTGCCTGTTTTTGATTTGTATGTTGTCTTTTGAGAAATGTCTATTCAATCTTTTATCAATATATAAATCAGATTATTAGATTTTTTCCTATAGATTTATTTGAGCTCCCTATGTATTGTGGTTATTAATTCCTTGTCAGGTGTGTAGTTTGAAAACATTTTCTTCCATTTTGTGGGATGTCTCTTCGTTGATTTATTTCCTTCACTGTGCAGAAGCTTTTTAACATAATGTGCTCTCCTTTGTCCATGTTTGCTTTGGTTGCCTGTGTTATGGAGTATTACTCAAGAAATATTTGCCCAGACAAATATCCTGGAGATTTTCTCCAACGTTTTCTTCTGGTAGTTTCATAGTTTGAGTTCTTAAAGTCTTTAGTCCATTTTGACTATATCTTTGTATATGGCGAGAGACGGGACTAGTTTCATTTTTCTTCATATAGATATCCACTTTTCCCAGTACAGCTTATTGAAGAGACGATCTTTTCCCTGGTGTATGTTCCTTGCACCTTTGTAGAAAATGAGTTCACTGTAGGTATGTGGATTTGTTTCTGAGTATTCGGTTTTATTGGTCTATGTATCTGTGTTTATGCCAGAACCATGCTGTTTTGGTTATGGTAGCTCTGTTGTAGTATAATTTGAAGTCAGGCAATGGGATTCCTCCAGTTTTGGTGGGTTGGTTGGTTGGTGGTTTTGCTTAGAATAATTTTGGCTCTTCTGGGTGTTTTGTGCTTTCATACAAATGTTAGGATAGTGTCTTCTATATCTGTAAGAAATGTCATTGGTATTTTGATAAGGATAACATTGAATCTACAGATTGCTTTGAGTACTATGGATATTTTAACAATATTGATTCTTTTGGTTCATGAATCTGGAATATGTTTTCATTTTTAGTGTCCTCTTCAATTATTAATGCTTTATAGTTTATCATTAGAGAACTATTTCACTTCTTTGGTTAATTCCTATTTAATTTTATTTGTGGCTATCATAAATGAGATTACTTTTTAAATTTGTTTTAATCTATTTGCTATTGACATATAGAAATCTGCCTTGTATCCTGCAACTTTCCTGAATTTATTAGTTCTAATAGGTTTTTGGGGAGACTTTAGGTTTTTCCAAGTATAAGGTCCTATCATCTGTGAACGAAGATAATTTTACTTTTCTTTGAAATTTGATGCTATATCTATATCTCTATATCTATATCTATCTATATATATAGATATATTTACATATAGATAGATTTATTTATATTTGTTTCTCTTGTCTGATTGCTCTAGCTAGAACTTCCAGTAATATGTTGAATAACAATGGTAACAATAGTTGCACTAAAGTGCAAGACTAAGTCTCTCTTAATTTTCTTTAATTTTCTGTCCACTTTCCTCAAGCAGAAGGAGTCTTGCCCCATAGCCACCATAGCTGGTAATATGCTGAGTCTCACCCGGAGCCAGCATGCCTCAGAGTTTCACCCAAGGCCCTCATGACTCTAGCTGGTATCCAACCCTGATGTGGCTGAGCTGGTATCCAAGATGCAAGACAAAGTCCTCCTCACTCTTCCCTCTCCTCTCCTAAAGCAGAGGAAAGAGGCCTCTTTTGGAGCCACAAGCCGTGGAGGCTGAGGTTAGGGGATGAGTTTAGCTGCCCTGGCTGGTGTTTTAACAGGTCATGTGTCCCCCGAGTCCACTGGCTCTGGGCCCAGATTAGCATTAGGATTTGCAGCTCTTGTGGCCTAGACTGCCCTTCAGGTTTGTCTGTGGCTCCAGAGCCACTTTAGCCCTTCATGGTGAGGCTTGGGTAACTCAAGTTCCAAACACTGGGATTCGCAATTCCCTTCCAGCAATGGCTGGTTTAAATGCGCCCTTCATGGTGGGTGTCAGCTGAATTTGGTCTGGGTCTTCTTTCTGCTATAAGAAGGGCATCGCTGAGCTCAGTGTCTTAGAATTGCTGGCTCTCCCTCTCCTTAGTGCACAGAGAAGCTCTCCATACCACACCACCGCTGCTGGGGGATGAAGGGGTGGTAGTGTCAGTGATGCAATACTGTTTTTCCAACTTCTTCAATGCCTCATTCAGAAATATGAATTTAACTCCATGTACTGTGAGTGCTCACCTGAGTTTTGGTTCTTGAGAAGGTGTTTTTTGTGTAGATAGTTTTTAAATTGGTGTTCTTGCAGGGGGATGATCAGTGGAACCTTCTATTCTGCCATCTTGCTCCATCCTCCAGACTTTTTTCCTTGTCATTATTTCCTAAAAAATATAGTATAACAGCTATTTACATAGCATTCATATTGCATTAGTTGTTATAAGTAATCTAGACATGATTTCAAGCATACGGGAAGATTTGTGTAGGTTATATAGAAATACTCTGCCATTTCATATTAGGGTCTTTAGCATCATGGATTTTGGTATTTTCACGATGTCCTGGTACTGAGGACAGATAGTGAGGGATGACTGTACACAGGGATGAATACACTACTCAGTACTTGTACGTTTGTCATGCTAGAAAGACTCAGCAAAGTCTCGGAACCTTGCAGGCACTGAGAAAAGTGGCTCCCTTTTCCCATTCTCTTTCATTCCCAAATTATATAATCTAAATTCGATGAGACTAATATTTCAAGGGAAGTCTCTGAGCCTTTAAGGAGAGGGGCGATGTGGGAGAAGGTCACCCTGTCATGGAGAAATCTTAGACCACATTCGGTCATCAGATTCATAGATGTCTTAAGAGTCACAGAAGCATAGCAAGTACATAACACTCCTTTTGATTCTGAGAAAGTGACACTCAGAGCTTTTAGTGTCTTGACTAAGATTACACAATTAATTGGAAGCAAATATAATAAATGGTAAATGTTTTAGAACCTAAAAGGTTGTCAGACTCCGATATTTTCTCCTGAATCTGGGAAAGCCCCAGCTGTGTTAATGGAGAGTGTCTACAGATGCAACTTTTCCCCACGAAAGATGGCTTTGTAGGGCCATTTCAAAATATGTCAAATACATACTTTGGGGTGGAATATTTTGATTTTCCTCAGGGTCTGCTATCTGTCATGTGATGCTATACCAGAGTCAGGTTGGAATTTGGTATCTTATTGCCACTCAGTCTGTTTTGTCAGTCTTAGGAACTCTATTTCAATGTTATTGCTGGTCAGTTGTGCCTAAATTCCAAAAGATGGGTGTAATGAAGTGTGTCTCCCTTCTTATGTCCTGCAATTAAGCTTTTCAGCTTTCCTGAGATTCTCGTGGCCTAGAGGGGGTCTGTTCAGTTGATTAGGGGTCTTAGGATTTTAAATTTAGTTTACAGACTTCTGACACTGGTTTTGCATGATCCTCCCTTTGTGAAATTCAGATTTGCTTTTACAAAGAGAGCTTATTTTAAATGTCTGATATGAAAATATAATTTTAAACTAGAAAAATGAAGTTGTTTAAAAAATGTGCAACGTCATGAGAAAGATGGATTTGCTTTTGGATAGATGCATCGCATAAATGAAAAACATGTTTAATTCCCACGTGGACCGTGAGTGGAAAGTTAGAATATAACCATCAAAAACAAATAGCAAAAGAAAACAAAAATACCAAAATAGTGGATTCTGAGAGGGTCTTAAAGAAAATAGAAGCTCCAGGAAAGAGACAATGCCAAGTACAGGAAAGATGAATAAGAAGGAAAAAAAAAAAAAAAAAGGAAAACAAGGCAAAGAATTAAGCAATAAACACTCATCTCAATTCCCTAATGTGAAGAAACTGACGATGTAATTTTCTCATTTTCATTCTGAATTTAAACCCCTTTGCTTTGGCCTTAGAATGGTGAAAGCAGCTTCACTGAGCTGGCGTGGCTTAGATTTATTGTCTGATGGAACAGAAAAGATGGAGCAAAAGGTTTGTGCTCTATGTGCCGTGTTCGTCTCTTTGTTGAAAGGTGTCTTGATGACCTGTCTCTTCAGTGCTTTATAAAGGGGATAAGTAAGGAACAAAGATACCTGACTCTTGTTGCTAGCTCTTCATAATTCTGACTTTAGGTTTCCTGAAGTCCCAGGGTTTTTTTTTGTTTTGTCTCTTGTTTTGTGTGTGTGCTTTGTTTTTGTTTTGTTTTTTTGTTTTTTTGCCCTAGGAACAGTGCGTTGTATTTCACTTTGCATTTCCACATGCCTCAGTCACTATTAGTTTTTTCCTCAGCATTATTTCTCTAACCTGCAGTACAGCAACCCTGAGGATGACCAAACCTCAGTCATGGAGCTCCTGACTCTTCATTAGTCTAGAAGTTAGTGGGCTTTTTAACTTTGAGACAATTGTATCAAGCATGATTAAAACAATGCAACTGGAAAATTAAAACTGAAATATTCAGACAAAGCAGTCACTGAGCAAAGCTATGAATTTATGGGAGGGGATGGTGATTAGTTTGTTATGCAAAGGAGATGCAGGACAAGAGGATCCCTAGGCTTGGTTGCAGGGCTGCGGTTTTATGAAAGATTCAACACAACTGCCTCATGTGCTTTAACTTCATTTTTCAATCACTATGAACGGAATTTTGGACATTTTAGGCATGATTTTTGGGGGATAAATGGTATCAGCAAAATGAAAATAAATATTTTGTTTATATTTCAACTAAATACTTGATATTTAGGGCATCTGCAGCATTTATTGCTGTGATTTCTTGTAAAAATATTTCTCTGCCTGACAGTTAATAAATTAAATGCCTTAGATTTCACTGGGGACTGGGAGAGGGCTCACTGTGCCTACTGCTGCTCTCCTGCTCGGCACTAGTTCTGCACCCCAAGCTACTCTCCTCAGGCAGGCGGGACTCTCCCTCTGCTCCTCTGCCCCAGTCAGCACTACTTATGGAATGCAACCTTGTGAGGAATAGCAGAATAAATTGAAAAGTTTTCGTGAGGAAAGTGGACTTAAATGGAGATATATAATGGTAGAAGAAATTTAAGGAGATTTCCAGTTTTCAGATTATTTCATGGTATTAGTTATGATATTTGTACCATTAACAATATTAATATTAACCTTATCAGCCGTGATTTCCATCACTGAGTCCTGGATGAGCTACTGTATCCAAAAAGTAGTGAAAATTTCAACCCAACACTAACACTGTGTTACAGACCTAACGTGCATTCCCTACTTCAGTCTCTAACCATCCCACAAGGCCAGTATACTTGTGTTCTTAATTCTGGGGGGAAATAAGACATAGAGTGTACCTGTCTTCACTCTTGACTTAGCTCATGAATAGTCACCTCCCCAGATCTGTTTCGTAGTTCACTTTAGCTTGTGGCCAAGATACAACTTGACCTAAGATTTGAACTTATGATTTTATGTCAGTTTAAATCAATATTTAGAAAAATAATTCAAAGCACATGTCTTACCAGAAAAAGGTCAGGAAAGCCATGTACATAGGAAAGATTTAAAATTAATGACTTTTTTTTCCTCAGGGGGAAACTGAGCCAGTCATGTGCTCAGGGAATCAGACTTCTCAGAATCAAACAGCAAGCACTGATTTCACCCTCACGGGACTCTTTGCTGAGAGCAAGCATGCTGCCCTCCTCTACACCGTGACCTTCCTTCTTTTCTTGATGGCCCTCACTGGGAATGCCCTCCTCATCCTCCTCATCCACTCAGAGCCCCGCCTCCACACCCCCATGTACTTCTTCATCAGCCAGCTCGCGCTCATGGATCTCATGTACCTATGCGTGACTGTGCCCAAGATGCTTGTGGGCCAGGTCACTGGAGATGATACCATTTCCCCGTCAGGCTGTGGGATCCAGATGTTCTTCTACCTGACCCTGGCTGGAGCTGAGGTTTTCCTCCTGGCTGCCATGGCCTATGACCGATATGCTGCTGTTTGCAGACCTCTCCATTACCCACTGCTGATGAACCAGAGGGTGTGCCAGCTCCTGGTGTCAGCCTGCTGGGTTTTGGGAATGGTTGATGGTTTGTTGCTCACCCCCATTACCATGAGCTTCCCCTTTTGCCAGTCTAGGAAAATCCTGAGTTTTTTCTGTGAGACTCCTGCCCTGCTGAAGCTCTCCTGCTCTGACGTCTCCCTCTATAAGACGCTCATGTACCTGTGCTGCATCCTCATGCTTCTCGCCCCCATCATGGTCATCTCCAGCTCATACACCCTCATCCTGCATCTCATCCACAGGATGAATTCTGCCGCCGGCCACAGGAAGGCCTTGGCCACCTGCTCCTCCCACATGATCATAGTGCTGCTGCTCTTCGGTGCTTCCTTCTACACCTACATGCTCCCGAGTTCCTACCACACAGCTGAGCAGGACATGATGGTGTCTGCCTTTTACACCATCTTCACTCCTGTGCTGAACCCCCTCATTTACAGTCTCCGCAACAAAGATGTCACCAGGGCTCTGAGGAGCATGATGCAGTCAAGAATGAACCAAGAAAAGTAGTAAAGGGCAAGCATTGTCCCCTCCTCTTTCTATAATTCCGTTACTCCCTATCTCTCCTCTCTTTTGCCCTCAGGTCTCCGGGTCCCCAGCACAAAGCCCACTCATATTTTCCTTCTTTCTTATACGTGGCGTTTTCCCTCCATACTGCTTATTGCTCCCATTTATCTCATTAGATTTAATATCTTTAGAGTGTTTTTAACTGCACTGCAGTAGCTGACCTATGAAAGACCTTATAGAGTGCCTTTTATCTTATCTCCCATCCCAGGTTCATTGAGCATTTTAGTATGAGACTTGGTCTTAAACACTTTACCCCTCGAAGAGACTCATTGTAAAGACTTAGAATCCTAGCAGAGCCCTAGAGGAGGAGTATTGGCTGCTCCCTCCCTTTGCAATACATTGTAAACCTCGGTTCACATTGGCAGCCACTGGGGTCAGTGTTTCTGCTATTGTATCTCAGTAAGTACAAAGAAACGCATTTTCTCCAAAGGCTGAAGTGAACTTTGTAGTGTAAACACCAGTAGTTTTAGCATTGGCCATTGGAACCACCTAAACCAAAAATGAATCCATTTCAAAATTCAAAGAATAGGTTCATCTATTTCATAGTATGTAAATAAAAGTAGTTCCAGATTTAGTTTCTTTAGGATTTAGTCTATTCCAGACAATGGTCTACTATGTTTACAATAAATATCATAACAGTCGCGTGCGATAATGGAGACTTAGGAAAGCTTAACCCCCTCAGCATGTTTCTTCTGAAACTGGGAAAACCAGCAAAATGGTTATAAACTTGTCACTAACCTTTAGTTTGCCAGATGTATATCATGCTACAAAGGTAACTTCTGTAAATCTATGAGCATCAGATCACTATCATTTTCATTAACAAAATAATTCATGGGTCTAGTATTTCTGGAACGTGAGAAATTAGGAAAGAAATACATTTGTTCTAATATGCAAGAAGCTGAATCTCGAGCTGTATCGTGAAGCTGTTAATTTACTTCCCCTTGGCACAGCCCTGACCTTGCCTGATTTACCGACAATGAATGGAAGCCAGGTGTTCCCATGCCTATCGCATCTTCGAGAGAAATGACAAGTACTTGCTTTACATGACACATCGACCGAACACTTTTGCTTCTCACTGAAAATTATTCCTGCAGTGCATGAAAGGAGTTTGTCTGAGTTTGTGTACAGAGATCTGAATTTGGAAGTAAATTCCACCAAGTGGTGCAGAAATATCACTTGTAAGAGGGGGTTGTTAGAGGTAGGTAAAATTTGGTTTCAGAAATTGCTGTAATTAAATAAATGGGCAAAACTGCTCAAATGGACACCACAGATGACTAATTTAACAATGTTCTTATGTTGTCATTATATTATTTATATAATTATTTACCTCAGGAAGGTGTACAGAGTGGGATTGCTGAATTATAGAGTAGCTCTATTTTTAATCTTTATAGAACTGTCATACAGCTTTCAACACAGGCTGTTGCAACTTACGTTTCTACCAGCAATGCACATGTACAAGTGTTCCATTTCCTACACACACTTGACAGCACTTGCTATGTATTGCCTGGTAATAGCCATCCTAGCAGGTGTGAGCTGATATCTCATTGTGGTTTTGATTTGTGTGGCCCTGATGATTAGTGATGTTGAACATCTTTTCATTCACCTGTTGGCTATTTGTATTGCCTCTTTGGAAAAATGCCTATTCACACTGTCTTTACCATTTTTAAGTTGGGTAATTTGATATTTGCTAATGATTTTGTCAGTTTCTTTTATATTTTGGATGCTAACTCCTTATCCAAAATATGGTTTGCAGATATGTTCTCCCATTGCAGAGATTACCTTTTCATTTTATTGTTTCCTTTTCTGTGCAAAAGTTTTTGCATGTTGATGCAGTCCTACTTGCTTATTTTGCTTTTGTTGCCTTAATTTTTGTGTCATATCAAAAATATCACGGCCAAGATCAATGTCAAAGAGCTGTTTCCCTATGTCATCATCTAGGACTTTTACAAGTCCAGGTCTTCCATTTAAGTCTTCGATCCATTTAGATTTGGTTTTGGGGGAATAGTGTAGGATAAGAGTCCAATTTCGTTCCTCTGCATGTATGTATCTGGTTTTCCCAATGCCATTTATTGAACAGACTATCCTTTCTTCATGCTGCATTTTTGGCACCCTCATCAAAGACTAATTGACCATATAAGCATGGCTTTATTTCTATAATTTGTAATATAGTTTGAAATCGGAGTCTGAAGCCTCCAGCTTTGTTCTTTTTATCAATATTGCTTTGGCTATTTGATATTTTTGTGCATTCACAAAATTTCTAGAATGGTTTTATTCTATTTATGTAAAAAATGCCTGTGGATTTTAGTTGGGGTTATACTGAATCAGACATTTTCTGGAGTAATATGGACATTTAAAGAATATTAGTTATTCTAACCCATTAACATGAGATATCTTCCCACTTATTTATCTCCTCTTTAGTGAACAGATCTTTCACTCCCTCAGCTGTATTTATTCCTATGTATTTTATTCTATTGGATGGTATTGGGAATGGTATTCTTTTCTTAATTACATATTTGGATGGTTCCTTTTTGGTGTATAGAAATACAACTCATTTATATATGTTTATTTTGTATCCTGCAAGTTTCTTGAATTCTTTAACTCTGATGGGATTTTGCTGGAGTCTTGAGTTTTTTATATGTAAAATCATGTCATCTGCAAACAGATGGCAAGATAATTTAACGTCCTCTGATTTGAAAGCCTTTTCTTTCTTTTTATTGCCTAATTGCTCTGGCTAGTTTCTGGTATTATGTTGAATAGAAGCAGTGAGAGTGAGCACTCTTGTCTTGTTCCTGATCTTAGCGGAAAATCTTTCTCTCCATCGAGTATGATTTAGCTGTGAGATTTATTATGTAAAGGCACATTCCTTCTATAACAAATCTGCTGAGTTCTCATCATGAAAAGATGTCGAATTTTATCCAATGCTCTTTCTATGTCTATTGAGATGCACAATTGTTTTTGTCATTTATTCTGTTAATGTGGCATATCATATTTATTGATTGGTGTATGTTGAACCATCTTTGCATCTGTGGGAAAAAAACTTGGGACCCCAATTTACTATGCCAAAAGGAAAAAAGATACTAAGCTGAAAGCTGAGTTATGCAAGAAACTGCATTTCCTTTGGTTTTTGTTTTCTTTTTGTTCCTAATCAGTTAACTACAGATGAAAGGTTAGAGTAACAGGCAGTAACTCCACATTCTCCTTACCTGACGTAAAGCGATGATCCTTCTACTGAGTGTGAAAGGAATACATAAATGACTATTCACCTACCTGCTTCTTTGCTTCTTTTCTTCTTGCAACCTGTGGATTATCATACTCTCCCTCTTTCCCCTCTAGCCTGCTTTCCCCTTTAAATATTAAAGTCCTCAAAATTATCTTTAAAGAAAAGCACAGACCACAGACTGTTTCTGTAATTGTGTTCTTTTTTCCAAGCATGTCCTTTACCTTGGTGAAATAAACTTTCAATCTGATTGAGACCTGTCTCACATACTTTTGGTTTATACATCCTAGGAATAATCCCACTTGATTATGGTGAAGTATCCTTTTAATGCACTGCTTAATTTGGCTTGTTAGTATTTTGTTAGTTTTTACCAAAAATTATGAAAGCTGTTTTTCAGGAATATTGACCTATAATATTTTGGGAGTTAGTGTTCTTATCTGGCTTTGGTTTAAAGGTAATGTTGGCTTCAGTAAATGAATTTGGAAGTGTTTTTGCCCTTCAATGTTTTGAAAAAATCAGAGGAGGATATGTGTTAGTTCTTTAAGTGCTTGGATGAATTCACCATGAAGTCTTCTAGTCCTAGGCTTTTCTTGGGAGATTTTTTTTTTTTTTTTTTTTTTTTTTTTAGACGAAGTCTTACTCTGTTGCCCAGGCTGGAGTGCAGTGGCATGACCTCGGCTCACTGCAACCTCCGCCTCCTGGGTTCAAGTAATCATTTCATGTGCTGAGTACTCTTATACCTACTTTCTTAGCAATTTTCAAGTATATAATTGTTGAAACTGTAGTCAGCATGATGTACCATAAACCTCCTGAACTTATTTCTCCTGCTTAAATAAAATTTTGTATCCTTTGACCCACATCTTCTCTTTTCCTTCCTCACTCCAAACTCTGGTAACCACCATTTTACTCTTTGTTTCTATGTGTTTGACTATTGGACACTTCACATATAAATGAAATTGTGCAATATTTGTCCTATACCAGGCTTATTTTATTTAAAATATTGTCCTCTGGGCTCATCCATATTTTTCCAAATTATAGAATTGTCTTTGACTTTTGACAAACTGATCATAATATGTCTCAGGTATAATGTTTTGGTTTGTTCTTGCTTGGGTTCCTTTGAACTTTATGAATCTGCATGTCTCTATCACTCACAAATTTAGGAAATGTTGTCATTTTAGCTTTGTTTTTTTCTCCTTCTGTGAATGTCATAATACACATATATATTTGCTTGATGTTGTCTTATAGTTCCCAGATGCTTCTACATTTTATTTTTTTTGTTCCTCTAACTGTATGATCTAAATTCAAGTTCATTGCCTCCTTTCACTGTATGATGAAATATGTTGTCAAAGTACTCTGTTGACCTTTTCACTTCCATAATTGTATTCAGAATATTTTACAAGCTTTACACTAAAGTTAACGAGATTTACACACCTCCATTACAGTACTAGAGTGTTCCAAATTTGACTACAAATCTTCTCAGCACAAGAATTCTTTCCTTTTTTGATGTCAATGTCTTTATTATATTTCTCATTTTGTTTATGCATTTTTTTATTAGTTTTAGATCTCTGTTATTTTGAAGCTCTTTGATCCTATTTAATATGATTTTAAAATTCTTAGGCAATTCATAGATTTCCATTTCCTTGGGGTTGCTTAATGAAGCTTTATTACTTTGGTGGTATTTATTACTTTGGTGTCACATTTGCCTGATTTTTTTGTGACTCAAGTAGCTATGCATTGATGTGTGCACATTTGAAGTTGCAAACAGCTCTTCTGGTCTGCATAGACTGGTTTCAGTAGGTAAAGACATTCTCCTGTCATTTCTCTAGGCTAATAAGAATTACCTCCAGGACTGCAGTTGAGCAGGGTTAGAGCCATGTCATGTGGCTACTCCTGAGTCTACAGCAGAATTTTTAGTTGGCAAGCTTGTTACCAGAAGTCGAGTTGAGTATAAATCCTGTCTGGTCTCTTGGTAGAGAAGACTGCCTCTAGTACCTTGGTCAATAGGGCTATCGCTAGGACACTCTGCTTCAGGGTTCACATTTGGTTCTGTAGATGGCATGCCTGTTACCACGTACAGAAATGGGTGTGGATTCTATTGAGTCCCTTGAAGGACTCCCATTATATTGGTGGGAAAGTCTCTGGGCAAGAAGGATTGTCCCCAGACCACAGTTGAGAGGACCTGGAACTGAGTCTCAGGGCTGTGTCATGGACCACAGCTGAGTCTGAGGTCTTCTGTCCTGCATGGATGGGTGTACCTCCTGCATAGTCCCTGTAAATATAAGATATAAGATATCCCCAAGCTGTGGTTGAATGGAAGCTGGAGCTGGATAAGAGGGCTGATTCAGGATCTCCAGCTGACTGATGTCAGCAGTCTTGTTTACAGGGGCATCGATCAATGTGTCACCCAGGAGGTCACTGAGTGGGCAGGACTGCTTTTGAACAATGGAAAAGGGTGCCAAGTAACAGAGCTGCTTCAAGATTGGCAGTCGGACGTAGTTTTGAGAGCCTGCCTCTAGGCACATGAACAGGGTTGCCTCCTGGCAGGTCTCTGTGCAGGAAGGTCTATTCCCAGACCATGGCTGAGGGGGACTGGAGCTGGGTCATGGACTGCTTCAGGGTTCAGAGCTAGAACTAAGGTTAGCAGGCCTGTGACTTGAGGGTACTGGTCAATGTGAGTGCCCCTGGGCCCCTTGGCAGATGGTTCAGGTGGCAGGACCAATGCCAAACAGGGCACTAGCTGAGTCCAGAGGGATGTTAATTCTGTGTCTGTAGCCAGGACCACAGTCAGTGAGCCTGCCACCTGGGTGTGGCCCTGCCTTCTCAAAATAGCTCTCTTCAGTGTTGGGATTCACCAGTTTTGACACTTCCTGTCAAGATCCAGAAGTTCCCACCAAGGGACTTTTGTGCCAGACAGGCTGCTATATTATTGCTGCTTTGAGGGGATACGATTATAGGAGCTCCTCTTCAACCATCTTGCTAATGTTTTTAATCTCTTTGTATTAAGAATATTTCTCTAGCACATTATTCAACTTAGATTTTACTCAATAAGTTAATTTAAAACCTGTGACACCAGACAGCAAGTTATCTGCTGTCAAAATGCAACAGTGACACTCACATATAGGATAGACATTCCTATTCTGAAAAAGAGAAATTGGAAGTTAAATAGAAGTCTTAGAGCCAAAGCAAACTTGAGCCTGGCAGGGCAAGTTTCGTTAGATTTCAGGACTTGAGGTCCTCTTTGGCTTGATATCCTGACCTCCAGTCCATAAAGGTGGTGGCCCCTCTTCCTTTGTTCTGTGCATGTATCTTGCATTTCTTTATATCTCTGATGGTGCCTTCAGGATCATTTACAAAATGTTTGACATGTTTTATATATTTATAGTTTAATTCTTAAAATGTTATTTTTGTTTTTATAAATATTTTCTCAGTTTACATTTAAAATGTAAAAAAAGTAGAACTTTAAGCAGGGTTTCCACCATAAATATTAATGTTGAAAAAATATATATCAATAGCTTTTCTGTCACTGTTAATGCTTTTTAAGTATTTTTAAATGAAAAATATTCTCCAAAAAATTAAATTATAAAAATCTCAGAATCTCAATTATTGTGGAAGAATTTTATTAAAATTACTTTAAAATCCAGACCCGACCTCTAAGTATTTGGATATCTCTGTGAGACCTATTGTGCTTGTTTATAAAAATCTGCAACATTTTAACAATATCAATTCTTCCCAAATGTATTTCATTGTATTCTAATCAATACAATTAGTTAGAACTTTTGAACCTAGCCAAATAGATCAACTGAAAGGAAAAACAAACTTAAAAACTTGCTTATTTTGAACATGAACATACATGAAGACAAGAATTGTTTCACTAGTTGTTTAAAATTATCATGAGGGGACACCCAATAAAACAAGATATTTTAAAGGAATTCAGTGAAAGACCAATGGAAAAGAAGAGATAATGTGGAAACCTAGCCTCCCCTGCACTGGCTTCTGGTATAAGATGTTGACCCTCCTTCCTTGTGTGATCCCGTTGTTTCCTCCACACACCCTGGTTCTCAAAACCATGATTTCAGGACTGCCTTCTCTTATGACCTCTGGATTCGTGTATACACTAGCCTTGCATCATCTTCATGTAGATGTGTACTGGGCAACTGGAGTCCCAAATTTCAGTTTCAGCGTTCCATGCCAACCTGCCCAGCCCCAATATTCCTGTGTGTATAAACGGCAATCCAACTTCACCTCCTCCACCACACCCCTTGCCCAGACACCATATGTCTCATCAGGACTAGCTCAAACCCTTTCCTGCATTCTCGCTCAAGCCTTCTCAGTGATAATCATATACCTGTTCCAAATGTCTTTCCTCTCTGTCCGTCCTCCAGTGATATCTCAGAGTGGGATTCACCGAGAAGCAAGGAGAGTCAAAGCTTTGGGGCCCTTCACTCTCTGGAGATTCTCTGAGTGCTGTCTGTTGCTGGGAGTTGTATGGTGGGGTGGGGTGGGGAGGGGAAGCCAGGCTACAGTCAGAACAGACTGTGAGCATGCCTGGTAAACTTCCTGAAGAGTTCTTAGAAGACAGGGGCCAAACATTGGCTGAGACTTCCTTTCTTTTTCTAAGTGCACATGCACTCTCTTGAGTGCCGTGTATACTTTTGTCTTCCCTTTCTTAAACACACCTCTGCCTGTCCCTGGTCCTTCTCAGGACCATCATGATTTTATAGGACCGGTTCCTTGGTTCCACTTCTAACCCCATTTTCTGTTTTGCCAACTTTCTCACCTCAGTCTGGGGCCACAGATCTTCTTGCTGCTGTTCAAACGTTGCAAGTTACTTTCAGTCTCACAGCTTTTAACTTTCTCTGTTTCCTCTGCTTAAAGCATCTCTGCCCCGTTGTTTACGAGTGACTCCATTGTTTCATTTACGGATCTGATGAAATTTCACCTTCTAAATAAAGGGCTCCTAACTAGCCTGTGTTAAATAGATTCGCTAATCATTCCTATCTCATCTCTCTGCCTTTATTTTTTATTTACTGTGATTATTAATACTTGACATTTCATTACATATTTATTAGTTTATTGCCTGTATTTACCACTAGTATATAAATGCTGTGTGGGAAGAATCTTTGTTTCAAACATCATAAACCTAGATAGTGCCTGGAACAAACAGTTACTAATTATTTTTGAAATTAATGAATAAAAGAAAATACCATTCAACATTGGAATTTAATTTTAACTTAAAAGCAATAATGTTAGCAATTCACTGCATATCACACCCAAATAAATTATTTTTGTATTATAACTCAAAGGTACCAAAAAAACCTCTGAAACTCATTAAAAGTGTAAAGGTAGATGCTTTACATAATCCCCAAATGCATAAAGACTTTGTAAGCACAAAACAGTTAACGAAATTATTAAAGTTAATATATTAAACAAAATACTTTAAAAAATTCTGATGACACAAAATATCAGAATGAAACTGAAATAAAAATATTTTAGTTGATACTATTCACAAAGAGTTACTATTTTTTTTCTTTTCTTTTTGAGACAGAGTTTCACTCTTTTTGCCCAGGCTGGAGTGCAATAGCGTGATCTTGGCTCACTGCAACTTCTGCCTCCTAGGTTTGACTGAGTCTCCTGTCTCAGCCTCCCAAGTAGCTTGGATTACAGGCACGTGCTACCACACCAGCTAATTTTGTAGTTTTAGTAGAGATGGGGTTTCACCATGCTGGCCAGGCTGGTCCCGAACTCCTGACCCCAGGTGATCCACCCACCTCGGCCTCTCAAAGTGCTGGGATTACAGGTGTGAGCCACCGCATCTGGCCAGTTATTATTTTCATACCAAAAACACATTTATATTTATGAAGAAAACATTTCAATAGAAGCAGTAGTTACATGGATAAACATGAAAAGTTATATAAACATATTAATTAAAAAAGACAAATAATGATACACCTATGAAATTGACCAAGAAGGAAAAGCACACATAATTCAGAGCTGGTGCAAGTGAAGTTTAATTCTGCAGCAAAATTTGAAGAGGCTTTTGGAAAAGTAATTCAATGTTGTATATTAAGAAGTGTGAATCACCGTATATCAAATGGTAGATTGTCTCAGGGAAAAACTGACATTCAGAGTGTATTTTTTGTATAATTAGTTTTATTTCTGCATAATTTATAATGTTGAAATTTTTAATGTCACTATTCACTCTTAGGAGAAGATTGCAATTGTGATATAATTACTCTGATAGATATTAACTCCAGTAGATACTGTCCAGTCATATACGAACACTACATATTGCAAACCGAAGAGATGTAACACAGAAGATTGGTTAGAGGTGGCAAAGGGTTACAGGGAAGGCTGGAGAAGTGGGCAGGGGAGTGTTGTCATCCAAGGACCAAGAGTCCTCACCACTGGAGCCCCATGTGCCCCTCACTGCTGAGCTGATGGGAACTCTGCACTCCAGGGCTGCTGAGAGAACCCTGCCCTGGTGATGTGCAGCAACCCAGATGCCTGCATCTCCCCAATACGACTGAAACTGCCTCTCAGGTGCTGAAGTCTGAGGCCCCCCATGGTCCCTGTTGCTTATAGCTGCTGACCCACACCCCCATCAGAAACGGAAAAAAGTAGTTTACTTCTTCCTCTCACCCTGCAGTGTCCACCCACAAGGGCCTGCACTCTCAGAGCCTTACGAAAAGTGAAGTAGCAAAGAAGTCAGGACAAACCACGTGCAGGCTGCAGCACTGTGGGTCAGAGACTCCAGCCCTCAAACGTGCACCTAAAAACAGGACATTGTCTAGACAAAGGTGGTCATGAAAAGACCTCCATGATGTAGGAAAATGATCAACATTTTTCCAGAGCACGTCTTTAGAGAAAAGTTCAGAGGAATTTGGCTGCAAGATCTAAGATGGCGGTGCAGTTTCTTCTGTCTTCTTCCCTGTTTTATTCCAACAGCCTAATACAGGGTATACACTCAATGAATATTTGTAGTTTAAAGGGAAGATATAACATGTAAAGTATCATTTTTGTCTGGTTTATTACATTAGAGTCGATTTTAAAATTTTTATTCAACCAGTTTTACTTTAGATTTTTCTATGACTTTAATGACAGTATTTAAAACAAAAACAAAGATAAAAATCAAATGCAACACTAAAGCAATAAAGATTGCAAGTGAGTGAGAGGGAAACAGACTACAATCGGTCCTAATGAAGAGGGAGAAAGATGAAGATATGAAGATGACTCCAATTTTAGTTTTAATCAAGGTACTGATTTGTGGAGGTATCTTTGACACATCAGTTGACCTCTGAGTTTCAGATTCTATACCTGTGAAATGTTAGAATAAAAATAACAATATCTTACAACATTTACTTGAATATTAAATGAAGATCACACATATATATGGAATATATTTTATAATGTGGAAAAGGCTAAGGCTGTATATGAACTAACTCCTACATTTCATAAATAAGATTTTGATGATGATGAGATTTGAGATTACTATTACTAATATTGGTTAAAAGTTTGCATTTCATAACAGAGGTAAAAATTGTAAAAGCTATTAGAAGAAAACCAGAATTGTTCAGGAGAGATACCTACTGACTTCTTTAGCTCTCTTAATTGCATTCTTCTTCAACTCCCAGAGGTGATGTATCAACCGAAAGCTTTCAACCCCTCCCCTAGTGCACACGGTAAAACCAGGCAGGTCACTTTCTTACTCCTGTTGGTGCTCTTAACCTGGCCACACACCACCAGCCCATCTAGGTGAGGTTCAAGACATCATCTGATGGTGAGTTCAGCCAGACAGACAGGAGGTACTAGCAGGAAGAAAAGGGTCATCACTGCTCTCGACTTGTTCTGCTTCTGAAACGTTCTATTAGTTCTTCACAGCATTTCCTCATTTTTTCTTTATCATCTGTTTTTAATGGAGAAAAGCAAATGTTATTCTTTCTTATAACTTCTATACAACACTTATTTACTGTGACATAATGGTAAATAGATTTTTAATTTCCAATTATTTATGGACATAATAATATATATTCTATAGTTTTAGATTTTCATACAATGATGTATTTATTTTCCTGTCACTGAAGTTTTATAGAGGAAAAGTGACTGATTTTCTTTTGAGAGGGGATGATTTCTGAGGGTTACAAAACACTAGAAACAATGTCTCAATCATTTTATGTTTCTTTGATGAAACCCACAGACAGTGGCCTAAATCCAAAGTGTAGACTGCAGAGGGAGGATGGTGTCCCTGAGAGGAATCAGGCAGAGTTACGTGCGCTGGCTCTCTCTCTCGGGCTGAGACGTGCGTTCTATCTCAGGTTAGGTGTGTGATATTAGGCAGGTACCCTGAGAACCTGCATTTTTTAATATGTAAAGAGAGAAAATAATAGGAAGTAACTCATAGGCTCTTGGGAAAGAAGAAATGTAAAGTATTAATTTTAGTATTAGTATTAGAACAATTCCTGGGATGCTGTATGCTTCAAATAAAGATTTGACTCCATTTATACTTACAATAAATCCCCAAGTTAAACATGCATTAAGCAATTTACATGAAAGTCAAACAAGCGGGTACAGAAGAAGAATGAACAGGGGGCCAGTTCACTGTGTGTGGATAGTGTTCCCTTATCTGTCCCGTGTCCTGGTTGAGCTGTTGATAGTGGCTTAATGATAGTGGCTTAATGATAGTGATGGCCATTTCCTAAAGAGCAGCAGAGATTTCTTAGGAAACCCCGCATCTCCCTGCCCTCCTGCTCCCCCTCAATTTACTGAGCAAACACCTTTTAGGTCTTCACATGTGCTGGTCGCTCCTCTGGTCCTTGCTTCACTTTGGCCACAAATAATGGACGAGGTCAGCAGGTGTGTTTTGCAGTTTATTGGAATGTTTTTAAATTGTACACAGATCTCAGCCACCATTTGCCAGTAGGGGTAGTGTTTGATACACATTATCTATCTATCTATCTATCATCATCATCTATTCATATATATACATATGTACATAAAATGTGTCTCAGATTTGTTGGATATTTATATTAAAGCACCGAAGCATCCCAGAATGTTGGAAGTTTTGGTGAGTTGAATGTCTTAAATACTTTTTGTAATTACTACAAGAATACAAAATATATTTGAAACTTGTAAATTCATTCCAAAATGTCCCTGCATCATAATCACAGCTAAAGTCTTCCCAGAAAGAGGAGTTATTATGTCCTTATTCTTGGCAAGGGCTCTCAAAATTTAACATTTAATATGTCAGAAGTTGAAAAGTTGGAAAGTTTTAATTTCTTTCAGAGAAAATGTGGAAACAGCTATTATGGATTATTTCAGAACGGCCAGATATATTTTGTGTCTATTGCCCTTATTTATTTTGTAACTATTTAAAAATTCAACTTCAAATCACATTTACATAATAGTTGTTCCCTGAATAGACTGACTGTGACCTCCTTAAGTGCACTCAAGTTCAATTTTTCTTTGATTCATCTTCTGCATATAACACAGAGGCTGTGAGTATCATGATAGAGAAGGAAACAGTGAGTTGAAGTCAGAGGCGATTCATCGTCAGTATAACACAGGCTGTGAGTGTCACGGTAGAGGGAGAAACAGTGAGTTGAAGTCAGATGCCTCAGTGTTGTTTGATTTTCCTCCCTGCTTCTCAGTTTGTATGAAAGATTGATTGTGGCAAGTAATAAAGCACATGAGGTTTGCAAAAACAACTAAAGCCTTGTCTGATAAACAGCAGTGACCCTCCAAATTCTAGTTCTTCCTCGCTGAGATTTAATGAGCTTTAAAATGAGAGGAGCTTTAAGGAGATGAGGTTGGAGGACCACATACTAGGCAGGAAGGACATAGGAGTCTCCAAAAAGCTCTGCATAACCAGGGTTAAAATAAGAAATGTTATAGTTATATATTCACCTGTGTATGTTTACATAAATATATTATATATATTTATATAAAACCAGAGTATTTACACATAAACACACAAATATAAAATCCAAATTGTTTTTTTTTAAAGTGGGTCATATGCTTTATTTTGCAGAACTTCTGCCATTTTTATTTTGAAAGTCAGCTTCTTAAATGTATGAATAGGTACTGAATCTGGAGAATGGAAGTAATATATCTTATATAATAATAGTAGCAACAATCTCTTAGGTTGTGCAGAATAGTTAGCTTAAAGAGTTAACATCTACACTAAGAGTATATGTGTTTATTCATCGGAAACTGTACTATTCTAAGCACTTTCATTACATTTCCTCATTTTACCCTCACCACACCTGAGCTCAAACATGATTTTTATCCTTTTTGATGTAGATTGGAGAAAGGAATGGCAGACAGAGAAAAAGGTGGACCCATAGCTGGAGTCTACTGTGTGTGGGCTCCTCACTTCACGTCTCTCGATGTCTAAAGGGTCAGCTGTGTGTGAGGACCCTTCCCTGCTCATGAGAATGTGAGGCTCGCTCCACGCAATCACAGAGCCTCACAGCATGGCCTGATCCTATGGGAGGAGGAGGTTCAAACATCTGGCATAATTTTTTTTCCAAGTTACGCTTTAGTTACTTGCTAAATCTTTCTTATATCATATATACCTCTGAGTATTTTGAAGATGCCTATTGTTTCTTAAACCAGCGATGTTGATTCAATTCAGCTGTCTATGACAAAAACTCTACAATAAGGAGTTTGCTTTATCTTTCTTTCAATGAGTCACTGTTTGTGTTAGCAGAGGAGGGAGGTTCTGCAAATTTTCAGTACTTGTTGATAAATGGCATTATCATCAGGAAAGTTTATGAATTTGAACCGTGACAACCTTACTATCAGTTACCAATTCTTCTGGCCTATAGTTGTGAATTCTTAGTTTGTTTTGTGAATTTGTTATATGTCATTTATATACTCAAATCCCCAGACCCACGGGACTCAGGTTAGCACAATGAGCATACACAAATGTGAGTACTCACGAAACACTCATTACAAAGGGACGCGTTACACTGACTCCAAAACTCTCCTTGGTGGCCTAGGTGAAACCTCATGGCCAACATCACCAGGATGGCCAACCACACTGGAAAGTTGGATTTCATCCTCATGGGACTCTTCAGACGATCCAAACATCCAGCTCTACTTAGTGTGGTCATCTTTGTGGTTTTCCTGAAGGCGTTGTCTGGAAATGCTGTCCTGATCCTTCTGATACACTGTGACGCCCACCTCCACAGCCCCATGTACTTTTTCATCAGTCAATTGTCTCTCATGGACATGGCGTACATTTCTGTCACTGTGCCCAAGATGCTCCTGGACCAGGTCATGGGTGTGAATAAGGTCTCAGCCCCTGAGTGTGGGATGCAGATGTTCCTCTATCTGACACTAGCAGGTTCGGAATTTTTCCTTCTAGCCACCATGGCCTATGACCGCTACGTGGCCATCTGCCATCCTCTCCGTTACCCTGTCCTCATGAACCATAGGGTCTGTCTTTTCCTGGCATCGGGCTGCTGGTTCCTGGGCTCAGTGGATGGCTTCATGCTCACTCCCATCACCATGAGCTTCCCCTTCTGCAGATCCTGGGAGATTCATCATTTCTTCTGTGAAGTCCCTGCTGTAACGATCCTGTCCTGCTCAGACACCTCACTCTATGAGACCCTCATGTACCTATGCTGTGTCCTCATGCTCCTCATCCCTGTGACGATCATTTCAAGCTCCTATTTACTCATCCTCCTCACCGTCCACAGGATGAACTCAGCAGAGGGCCGGAAAAAGGCCTTTGCCACCTGCTCCTCCCACCTGACTGTGGTCATCCTCTTCTATGGGGCTGCCGTCTACACCTACATGCTCCCCAGCTCCTACCACACCCCTGAGAAGGACATGATGGTATCTGTCTTCTATACCATCCTCACTCCGGTGCTGAACCCTTTAATCTATAGTCTTAGGAATAAGGATGTCATGGGGGCTCTGAAGAAAATGTTAACTGTGAGATTCGTCCTTTAGGAAATTATAAAGTAGGAAATTTGGATATAAAGATTTATTTTCCTTTTCTCTACCCATCAGATACTTAGGATTTTATCCCTGTTATTCCTTAGACTCTCATACAATGATGCCTCATCTCATATTCATCTCATTTTGAGGAATTCTTTCACTGTGTGGAAACTCTATTTTATAGTCTTTGTCCATCCAAAATTCTTTTACAATTGTGTTATACTAATGTAACATTTTTGGAAGTTGATAACTGTTCTCTAATTTTGTGAAAAAATATTCTTAACCTCAGGAAATACTTAATATTTAGAGACAAAAAGGTCATGAGGTGTTCAAATGATGAGAGGGAAAGAGGGAGGGAGATAGAGAGGGGCAATGAAACAAACTGAGTTCAATGTTGCTGCCACACATGAGTATGGGTAAAGGGTATATAGGTATTAATTGTACTATTGTTTTTTAATGATTTTTGTGAAGTTGAAATCATTTACAAATAATTAAATACCAGGCTTTTCTCCCTTTTTGAAAATATTCTCCTTTCTGCTTGGTGGCAGTGTGACATCTTAGAAATCATGCTCATTTCATTATATCTAATCATTACCAAGAAAATCCAGTCATCGCCCCTTCTTTATTGAGGGCTACATTTTTCTGCATGGTCCAATTCTGATGGCGTCTAGTGGATTTATCTCTCCGAAATAATTACTGCCATGTGGTGTATTGAGGATGTAGGACCACATAAGTGACTGCAGAAAAAATATGACACCTGAGTGGAAGGAGTTTTAAGGAAGGTTACCTGCCCAGGGTGATTCCTGAGCTGAGATTTCAAACATGTAACTTGTTATACAAACAAGCAGAGGGATGGCATCAACATTCAATCCTTCATTTATTTAACAAGCATTTTGTACTATTTTATAATTAAAAATAGTTAAATAAGATTAAATTTTGAATAGCACATGGCTTTTACCAAGGAGTTTGAAAAATACATGTAGTTGTTTATGCAAACAAATGTAAGAAAATAAATAAGCTGTTTTGATACTCGTGTGAAGGGTGCAGCTCATAAGGACACACTAATTCTATCTGTGACATCTGAGTTCAAACAAGGAGCTGAGAGGAGACTCCGGGGCTCAGTGCTGAATAGTGACGAAAAGTTACCCTCAGATGAGTGTGTGATGTTGGAGCCAGGGGAACTTGCTGAGACACGCTGCAAGGGAAAAGGCACAGCATGAGCAAAGACAGGGCTGAGCAAGCGAGAGAGATCAATGCCCAGTAGATCTTTCTTATTTCATGTTAGGCTTATTTCTTGCCCTTGTGTGGCCCAGGGTTTTACAAACAATAGTGAAATGATCAGATTTGTATTTTAGAAATGTTATTTGTGTGGTGATCAATTGGAGATGTGCAAGACCAAAAACATAGAGACCAGGTACATGAGAATGGTAATCTAAATGATGTTGATCTAAGTGGAGTCGACCATGCCTTTACCCGAGAATAGGCTGATAGGAGGGCATTTGAGGTGGGGCCTGCTGAACCTGTTACCTAAAAGCATACATGTGGTAGCTGCATGCTATAACTTCCTAATTGGCTATGTACAACTTGCGAATAATCAGGTGTTTTCAACAGTACACATTCTTCTTTTCTCTCACCACACTCAATTATTTTATGACTATAATATAAAGATTCTGTAGTGCTTTGGAAAAATATGAGAGAACTAGTTTTTAATATTTTTCCTGAACTCAGACAATATAAAATGCATACTCTAACTTTGTATGAATTAAAGAGCATTTGTCAACTCTCAATTTGCTGGATTATAATTATAGACACATTTGATGGTTATCTTTAAAACATCCTTGTGAAAGGAAATGTAGCAAAATTTCATGAAAAATGATTTTTGTAGAGCTTTATTGTGCTAAAAATTGTTAGCTGCCTAAAATAACCTGTTATAATATGTTGGTAAGTCTCGTGGTAACTACAAAGCAAAAACCTGTAGTAGACATACAAAAATTTTTAAAAAACAAGGAATCAATGCATACCACTAGAAAAAACATCATTTAACCGTAAAAGAAGATAGTAAGAATGGAAGAAAAGAACAAAGTCTCTAGAAAACAACTGGAAAACTAACAAAATTGTAGCATTAAGTCCCTATGTATCAAAAATTATCTTAAATGTAAATGTATTAAATTATCCAATCAAAAGATATCTGGTGGCAGAATGTATAAAAAATGCCAACTACAACAGGTTACTTTAACCTGCAAGGACATATGCAGACGAAGTGAAGTGGTTGAAAAGGATATCCCATGCAAGTCGTAACCAGAAAAGAGCAGGAGTAGCTATGCTTATATCAGATAAAATAGACTGAAGTCCAGAACTGTAGAAAGAGACAAAGAAGATCATATATAATGATTAAAAAGTCAATTCAACAAAAAGTATATAATAATTGTGACTATGTATGAAACATTAACCTAAATACATAAAGTATTAATAGATCTAAGGGGATAGATAGCAATAAAATAATACTAAGAAACTTCAACACCCCTCTTTCAGCCATGGAAAGACTATCCAGACAGGAGGTAAACAATGAAATAACAGCTTCAAGTTGCACTCTAGGGCAATGGACCTAAAAAGCATATGCAAAACATTTTATTCAGTAGCTGCAGAATACACATTATACTCGATTGCACATGAAACATTTTCTAGGTTAGATCACATGTTTGACCACAAAAAAGTCTTAAAGATAAGAAGTTCAAAATAATATCAATCATCTTTTCTGATCACAGCAGTTTATAAACGAATGCAAGAATTCTCAGAAAGTTTACAAATAAATGGTGATTAAATAATATGCTCCTAAACAATAGATGGGTCAATGAAAAAATTAAAAGGGAAAATAAAAGGTTGTTTGAGACAAATAAAAATGGAAAACTCAACATACCAAAACCTACAGGACACAGCAAAAGCAGTTCAAAGAGGAAGTTTATAGTTTATAGCAATGAATGGCTACATCAATAAAGAAGAAAGACTTCAAATAAGGAAAGGTAATATTGTACCTTAATTAACTAGAAAAACAAGAATAAGCTAAACTCAAAATTAGTAGATACATTAATATTGATTAGAGGAGAAATAAAAAAATGATAAAAACAATGCAAAACATCAGATGAGTTGTTTTGTGAAAAAACAAAATAAACTAGACTAAGAAGGTTCAAATCAGAAATTTACAAAGGATATATTACAACTGAGGCCACAGAAATACAAAAGATTATGAAAGTATAATGAATAATTGCATGTCAAAAATTAGATAAGCTGGAAGACATGAATTGACTGATACATAAATCCTACGATAGTAAATCTTAGCAAACCAATAATGAATAATGCAGTGAAGTAGTAATAAAAGTCTCCCACCAGAAAAAAAAAAAAAAAAGCCCAGGACAATATGGACTCATTGCAAAATTCTATCAAAAATTTAAAGAACTAATACCAATTATTCTCAAACACTTCCAAAAAATTGAAGAAGTGGGAATACTTTCAAATTCATTATACAAGGCCAGAATTATCCTAATACCAAAGCCAGAGAAGGACATGGGAATGAAAAAGGAACTACAGGTCAATATCATTTGGGAACATGGATGTAAAATTCCTCAAAAAATGCTAGAAAACTGAATTTAAAAGCACATTTCAAAAAGCATTCATCATGATAAAATGGGATTCATCCCAGGGATGCAAGGATGCTTCAACAGATGCCAATTAATAAACATCACATAGCACAGTAACAGAATGAATGATACAATTTTATGATTATTTAGGTGGAGAGAAGCATTTGACAAAATTCCAAAACTCTCAACAAATTAGGTATACAAGGAATGTATCTCACCATAACAAAGGCCATATATGATAAGCCTACAGCTGACATAATACTTAATGATGAAATGTTGAAAGCTTTTTCTCTAAGATCCAGCAAAAGACCAGAACGGTCACTCTTGCCACTTTTATGTAACATAGCACTGAAAGTCCCAGCTAAAGCAATTAGGGAAGAAAAATAAATAGAAATGTAAATAGGAAAGGAAGAAGTGACATGTTTCTGTTTGTTAATAAAGTAATATTACATATAAAAAAACATAAAGCCTTCAACAAAAACTATTCCCTAACAAATTCAGGAAAGTTTCAGGAAATCAACAGACAGAAATTGGAGTTTCTATACTCTAACAGCAAACTGTATCTTTAAAAAGTTAAGAAAGACTCATAGAGAGGAGTTATAGCAACAAGATAGATGAATAGAAGATCCTCCAGCATCATTCATCCACACCCACAAAAATAGAACTGGAAACTATTCAAAAACAATAACATCCTGAATTCCCATGAATTCAGGAGAGAAAAAAGAGAAGCTGTGTCTGGTCTTAGAGCAATTAGGTAAAAGAAGGAAACAAAGGCCTCCAAATTGGAAAGAAGGAACTGAAATTTTCCCTGTTTACAGATGACATGGTCATATATTAAAAAAATCCTAATGACACCAGCAAAAACTGTGAGAACTGATAAATGAATTCAGTAAATTTGCAAGATACAAAATCAACATACAAAATTAGCATTTATATATGCCAACAGTGAGCAATCTGAAAGAGAAATAAGGCAATCCCATTTACAAAAACTAAAGTAAATACAAAATAACTAGGAATAAATTTAGCCAAAGTAAAAGATCTCTTCAAGAAAAACTATACAACTCTAATGAAAGAAATTGAAGAGATCACAAATAAATGGAAAGATTCCCCATGTTCGTGGATTAGAAGAATTGATATCATTAAAATGTCCATCTACCAAAAGAGAGCTACAGAATTAAGGCAATCACTATCCGAATACAAAAGATATTCTTCAGAGATAGAAAAAAACAATCCTAAAGTTCATATGGAAGCAAAAAAGACTCCAAATAGCCAATGCAATTCTGAGCAAAATGAATGAATATGTAGGCATCATACTACCCGATATACTACAAGCTATTAAACATCAAAAGAGAATGGTACTGGCATAAAAGCAGACACACAAACAGAAGAGAACCCCTGAGAGTCCAGATATAAATTCACTCATTTATAGTCAACTGATGTTTGACCAAGTTGAAAAGAACATACACCAAGAAAAGCACTACTTCCTCAATAAATGGTGATGCAAAAAATGCATATCCAAATACAGAATGAAACTAGACACTTATTTCACTATTTTAAACTCAAATTGGATTAAAGACTTTAATATCAGATCTTAAACTGTAAAACTTCTGGTAGAAAACACAGGCAGAATGCATCATCACTACATTGATCTGGGCAAGAATTTTTAAAGTAGAACCTCAAAATCACAGGGAAAAATTAAAAAATTAAAAAATGAGATTACATCATACTGAAAGGTTCTTCACAATAACGAAAACAATTCACAGAGTGAATAGATAACATACGAGTGGGAGAAAAGATTTGCCAACAATGCATTTGACAAGGGGTTCATATCCAGAATATATAAAGAACTCAAGTAACTGAGTACCAAAATTATCCCACAAATAATTTGATTTAAAAAATGGGCAAAAGACATCAAAAAACATATTTCAAAAGAAGACATACAAATGGCTAGCACGTATATGACAAAGTGCTCAACATCACTAATCATCAGGGAAAGGCAAACTGCAATGTCTTGGATGGACATGGTATCTTTCACTTTGAAACTGGAGTCCTGCAGGCCATTTTGAATATTGTTCATGTTTCCTAACACACCCAAGTTGGCAGAAGACCCCCTATTTAGGTCTAATACCTGCTGTTTATGCTCAAATAGGCCCAGGCAATACAAGTTTTGGCTATGACTCCAGTTATGTATATTTCTGGAAGAAACAATAGATGGGTATAAAATAAAGTATGGTAGAGTGAAATCATCATACCTGTACAGGAATGTAAATTTGGAGGTCATTTTTCTTATCAGGACACATCACACGGGGAATGTGTTTCTTTAGTAAATGTTGTGTACTCCTTTAGATATACTTATAACAAACCAACGATGCATGGCATCAGGATAAGTTTAGAAATAATTACTAAACGAGATTCCATAGGGTAGAGACAAGAAATTAGATTTTGCCTATGTTCAAGTGGGAGAATACCCATTTCAAATACCCAAGATTATAGAAGAAGGAATGAAAAAGTTTCAACTTTAAGCTGCTGAGGGAAGCTTGAAAAGAATTTAGTCTGACATTTGATATTCTTTATAACCATGTGACTAATTACTCAGATGGTACTTAGGAATTAAGAAAAGTCATTAACCTACAAAAAGCCCGAAGTATAAGAAAACACAGTTAAAGGTGTGTTTTTTAATTGTCTTTGCTGGATTCGGTTAGTTCAATAGCCTTGTCTTCAAGCTCTGAACTTGTTTCTTCTACTTGTTTGATTCTATTTCTGAGATTTTCCAGTGTATTTTGCATTTTTCTAGTGTGTTCTTGATTTCCAGCAGTTGTGATTGTTTTTTATTTATGCTATCTGTTTCTCCGGAGATTTTTCCATTCATGTCCTGTAACACATTTTTAAATTTAAGTTGGTATTCACCTTTCTCTGGTACTTTGTTGAGTAGCTTAATAATTGACCTTCTTAATTCTTTTTCTGGCAATTCAGAAATTTCTCCTTTGTTTGAATCCATTGCTGGTGAGCTAGTGTGATCTTTGGGGGTGTCAGAAAACCTTGTTTTGTCATATTTTCAGAATGGTTTTCCTGGATTTTTCTCATTTGGGTAGACTATGTGAGAGGGAAGTTCTGGGGCTAAAGGGCTGCTGTTGAGATTCTTTTGTCCCATGGGGTGCTCCCTTGATGTGGTGCTCTACCCCTTCTTCTAGGGATGGGGGTTCCTGAGAAACAAAGTGCAGAGATTGTTATTTCTCTTCCACATCTAACCACCCAGCGAAGCTACTGTGCTCTGGTACTGGCTGGTACCGGAGAGTGTCTGCAAAGAGTCTTGTGGTATGATCTGTCTTCAGGTCTCTCAGCCATGGATACCAGCACATGCTGTGGTGGAGGGAGCAGGGGAGTGAAGTGGACTCTGTGAGGGTCCTTGGCTGTATTTTTGATAAGTTTGCTGGTTGGTCTCCAGCCAGCAGTTGATTCTTTCAAGAGTTGCATCAGCTGCAGTAGTGTAGGGAAGATACGAGCTTGCCTTAGGGTTACCTGGATAAGTATCCAGATTTCTCAGGCAATGGGCCGGGCCTCAGAGCTCCCATGAGATTATGTCCTTTGTCTTTGGCTCCCAGGGTGGGTAGAGAAAGGCCAAGAGGTGGGGGCAGTGTTAGGCGTGTCTGAGCTGAGACTCTCCTTGGGCGGGGCTTGCTGTGTGGCTGCTGTGTGGGATTGGGGTGTGGTCCTCAGACTGATGGAGTTATGTTTCCACGGGGATTATGAGTGCCTCTGCTGGGTCATGCAGGTCACCAGAGAAGGGGGGGAACGGGCAGTTACATGCTTCACTCAGCTCCCAGGCAGCCCAAAAGGCCAGTCTCACTCCCACCTTGTGCCCCCAGTAGCACTGAGTTTTTTCCAGGCAGCTGGTGAGCAGGGCTGAGAACTTGCCCCAGGCTACAAGCCCCTCATGAAGAAAGCAAGCAGGGCTTTTAGGTTTCATGCCTCTCTGCCTGCCTCAGCTTCTGAGCTTGTATCTGCACTCCCAGTTTGCCCCCTCCCCCAGGTTCTGTCCAGGAAGCTTCACGTTAGTCAAGATTATTACAAAATTCATCTGAAAGCTTGCTTCTCCTTGTAGTCTTTCCCCAATTCCACTGGCAGCCCTCCCAAAGGACCCCTGCAAGACAAAGTCCGAAATGGTTTCCCACAGGGCTCTTCTTGTTGTTTCCTCTACTCGAATATTTTGCTTGGCTCTCTAAATTCCTCTTAGCTCCGCGTAAGATTAAATCCTTTTCCCACCATGTGGACCGTCAGGTTCCCCAGTGAGGATCTGTGCTTGGGGGTGGAGCATCCCCCTTTTACACTTTCACACATTTTGGCACTCAGTCTTTGGCACGGAGCCTACAGTGGCCGCCACCTCCTTCAAAGGGTCTTTGGATTCTCTTGGCTTTCCTGGTATGTCCTATGGTAGTTCTTGGAGCAAAAGTTCACAGCGTGAATCTCCACATGCTGCTCTGTCCATCCAAGTGGGAGCTGCAAGTTAGTCCTGCCTCCTATCTGCCATCTTCCTCTTCTGGAGTCCACGAAAAGGATTATAAACAAACTATTTTGTTGGGAGTAATAATGTGGTCCTGGCCTAGTGTGAAGTGAAGCTCACTCCAGGCCATTTCTCTCAAGCTGTGTTAATTTGTACCCTTCAGCAGTTTATGAGAGGTTCATTTCCATAGGCCCCCACATCTACAACTAGGGGATTTCATATATCTAATCTGAGCAGGGACATTGGTTCTACATGGAGACAGTGCAGAGATGAGCTGTGCTTGAGGCCTCACCTGTAGGTGGTAGGGTCTAGACCGGGAGACAGGCATTGGCCAACAGAAATAAAGGACACAAAGTGATGTCCTTCTCCACTCACTTCAGCTTTTCTTCAACACTATTTCAGATGCTTCCTTCCTGGCTTAGCTCTTCATTCAAGGTGAGATATTATGGGAACAGGATTGTGGGGGCAGGTGGCCCCAGGTATGGAGACTAAGGGGAGGTGTACATGGCAAGAGAGAAGCCAGAATATGGGGATGAGAAAGGAACAAGCTGTCTGTGGTAGTCATCCATGATTGAGATGATGTGTGGACCCTGAGTCAGACTACCTGGTTCAAATGCAGGCTCTCTACTTTTTACCCATTTGATCTTGGCCTGTGGCTCTCTACTTCTTATCCATTTCATCTTGGACTTGTGGCCTCTCATACCTCATCTTCCTTACAGTCCTCCATATGAAATCCCCCTAAAGTAGGAACAAAGCTTTGGCCAACTGCTCCTCCCATCTTTCCGTGGTCTTTACTTAGGAACTGTGTGTTTAATATACGTGACACAGGGTTTCTCCCACATCCCTGAGCAGAAACAAGCTGTGTCTGTATTTTGCACTGTACTCACCCCCATGCTAAACCCCCTCATCTACATCCTGAGAAACAAGGATGTGGTGGGGCTCTTCAGAAAGTTCTGGGAACACATCAAGTCTCTAAACAGAACACATAAATATCAATGTGGAAAACAACGGTAGAGGGCCAAGATGCAAAGACTTCAGGAGCATCTCATTTTCCAGCATGAGGAATGTTGCTCCATCGTATGAGAAAACCATTTGGTTCAATTTAATTTGAAATATTAATTTGCTCATAAAAAGCTTAAGGGCTGGGTGCGGGGGCTCATGCCTGTAATCCCAGCACTTTGAGAGGCCTAGGCTGGCAGATCATTTAAGGTCAGGAGTTTGAAACCAGCCTGGCCAACATCGTGAAGCCCTTTCTCTACTAAAAATAGAAAACTTAGCCAGGCACGGTGGTAGGTACCTGCAACCCCAGCTACTTGGGAGGCTGATGTGGGAGAATCACTTGAGCCCGGGAGGCGGAGGTTGCAGTGAGCAGAGATCTCACCACTGCACTGCAGCCTGGGACACAGAGCAAGACTCTGTCTCAAAAATAAATAAATAAATAAATAATGAAAAGCTTAAGAACTTTTTATCTAGTTTCTAACCATTGTTTCAAAATGGCTGAACTCAACTGTGTTTCTCCTTGAAGCTAGATGATAAGCATAGACAAAGTTCCAGTCTTCTCTCTTTTTACCTGCTTTAGCCATTTCTCAGTATCCTTTGAAGCTCAACTCTGTCCAGGTATTGCTAATCTCCATTGTTGTAAGCATCAGCTTCCTAGGAAAGACAAAAGTGTGATTTCTCAGGGGCAATAATAACACAATAGATTTTCTTTTCTCTTGATTGCTCTGGAAATCCCAACATGTTGGCTCTATTCTCTTATCCTGTCTCGGGTGGAAACTTCTGGTGATTCTCAGATAAGCAATAACTCAGCTGATATATAATACAAGAAGATTTTCTCTTCTATAATAAATACAGCAAGCCTTGAGTAATAGTACGTAATCTGTGGGTGAGCAAGGAACAATAGGCTTCTCTCTTGACTTTGTAAGTTCCTCCCATTCTCACTAGCTCTAGATGCTTACTCTTCCTCGAGTCAGTGCAGGTGGAACTCAGGGGATAGAGTGGAAGTAGGGGCTAGAAAAGCCCTACCTACCTTCCACCAATACAGAGAAGCTTCCCTTCAATTTTTGGTGGTTTGATTATAATATGTCTTAGGGGTAGTTTTGTTTGGATTGAATCTGATTGGTTACTTTTTACCTCACTGTACCTGGTTATTTATATCTTTTTCCAGGTTTGAAAAGTTTTCTATTATTTCTTCATATAAGCTTTCTACTCCTTTATCATTTCAACTCCCTTATCTCCAATGACTCAAAAATTTGCTGTTTTGTTGCTGTCCAGTAAATCTCATGTTTCCTTTATTATTTTTCATTCTTTTCTCTTCTCTATTTTCATATAACCTGTATTTGAGTTCACAGATTCATTGGCTTGATCCATTCTGCTGTTGATGGTCTCAACTGCAGTTTACATTTTGTTCATTATATTTTGCAGCTTTAGAATTTGTTTGATTTTTAAGTTATTCCAATATTTGCTAAGTTTATCATTGTGGTCATATTATTTTTATCGTTTGTTTGAATAGTTTCTGTGTATTTTCTTGAAGTTTGCTGAGCTTCCCTAAGACTGTTATTTCAAATGCTTTGTCAGGTAGTTTATGCATCTCCATTTGTTTGCTTGGTGATGTATGCTTCCTTGATTTCTCTTGCGTCTGCAGTCATGCATCTAATATAATAGGTACTTATTCCAGTCTTTGCAGACTTGTTTTATCCTGAAACATTCTTCAATAGTAAGCCTGTCTAGAGATTCTGAGCAGGTTGTCTGGTGTGGTCCCTAAGCTCTAGTTTGCTGTGGTGGGGGCAGCCCTAGGTGGTGCCCTAAGCCTGGGACTGCCACGACTGGTGCAGTGCAGTGCTGTAATCCCATGGCCACTGGAACTGGTGTGGGTCCCAGATGATATCCTGTGGCCACTGGGGCTGGTGCAGCACTGATGCAAGTCTGAAGCCCATGTTCACTGAGGCCTGCCTGCCAGTGGATACTTTCCAGAGCTTAAGGCCACTCTGGGTGGGTGGCAGTGATGATGACTGCAAATTAATTCTGCTTTGCATGGTTTCTGCCTAGTGTTGGTGTAGATCTGGAGGCTCGGTCTTTGTGTACTGGCCTGGAGTCAGTGGTTGTGGGGGCTGCCTGGTTTTCAGTTTTTCTGTAGTGGGCCTAGTGTTGGGCACCAAGACCAAGTCCCACACTTACTTCCCTTTTTATTCCCCAAGTGTTTGGTATCTCTCCCTGCACTGTGCTGTCTGAGGTTGGGGATAAGAAATGCAGGTAATCAGAACTCTCCTTCCTGCCCTCTTCAATGTTTATTATTTTATCACAAGAAGAAAATAGTATAACTAGGTACAATGATCTCTCACATGGCTTTACTAGCTTTTGTGAAGGTATGTAGTGTAAGAATAGTTATTAAAATTGATGTTTCTATGGGGATACAATTGTTAAAGAATTCCGTTCTGCCAGCTTTCCCACTCTCCTCTCTTTTCACTTTTTTGATTGAGACCTTTGAAGCACAAAAATTTTGAAGTTAGATGAGGTCCAATTATTTATTTTCTTATTGCTCGTTCTTTCGGTATCATGCTAAAAAAAATGCTAAACTTAAGGTCTTGAATATTTAACTTCATCTTTTCTCATATTTTTATAATTTTACTTCTTATGTTTAGGTCCCTGATCAATTTGAGTTTAAGTATGATTTGTAATGCCACTTCATTCTTTTGTTTGTGGATATCTTCTTGTCTGAGCACAATTTGTTAAAGTGAGTATTCTTTTCCCATTGAATGGACGTGGCACACTTGTCAGATGATTATTGACCATAGACACATGCGTGTATTTCTCATTAGATTCTCAATTGTCTTCTATTTATTTATGCATATATCCTTATTCTGTTATCAGGCTTTTAAAATTAGTGTATCTTTTTGGCAAATTTTGTACTCAGGAAGTGTAAATCTTCCAACTTTGTTTTTCTATTCAAGGTTGTTTTGGATTTTGCAGTCGCTCGTAATTTCATATGATTTTTAGTGTTTTCTACTCTTGCAAAAAAAAAAAAAAGGCATGGAATTTTTATAGGCATTGTATTGAACCTGTGGATATATTTTGGTTGTATTATCTTAACCACAAGTCTCCCAATCCATTAACATGCGATGTTGTTTCATCAGTTTATGTTTTATTTGCTATTAGCAGTGCTTTGTAATTTTCAGTGTGTTGTTTAACACTACTTTAAGTTTCTTCTTGAGTAAGTGTTGGTAGTTTCTGTGTTTCCAGGATTTGGTTTTCATCTCACTGAAGGTATCTAGTTAGTATTCAATTATTTGTAATATTCTCTTATAATTGCTTGTGTTTCTGAAAGGCTAGTTGTTATGTACCCATGTTATATTCATATTTATGTATTCATGATGTAAGACTTCTCTCTTTCTCTCTTTGGTAAGTTTACCTAAAGTTTTCTATATTTTGTTGATCTTTTGAAAGCTCGAAATAGTCAAATTGTTTTTTCTATTCTGCATTTTATTAATCTCTATTCCAATACTTTTTTTTCCTTCTGTTTGCTTTGTATTGAGTCTGCTCTTCTTTTTCTAGTTCCTTAAGGTGTAAAAATATATTATTGTTTTTAGATGTTTCTTCTTTTTTTGAGTATAGGCAATCTAGCTAAAATTTTCCTTCTAAGAGTTGCTTTAGCTGCATCCTATATGTTTTGTTATGTTTTAAGTCATCTGAATATATTTTCTAACTTCATTTCCAATTTCTTTTTTGACCCACCGGTGCTTCACAGTGTGGTGTTTAATCCCCACATATGTGTAACTTTTGTAGTTCTCCCTCTATTTCAGATTTCCAGTTTTATTTCATTGATTGGAAAAGATACTTTGAATTAAATCTTTTAAAATTTAGTCTTATTTGTTTTTGGCAATTTATCCTGGAGAATGTGTTATTAGTACTTGAGAAGCATCTATACTCTGCTATTTCAGTATTCTCCACATATATATTAGGTCATTTGGTTTATAGTGCTGTTCTAGTCACTTACTACTATATTAACATTCTGTCTAAGTGCACTATGCATTATTGAAAATGGACATTTAAGTATTGAACTATAAGTACAGAACTGTTTATTTCTTCCTTTAATTCTGTCCACCTTGGCTTCATATATTTTGGGTCTCTGTTACATTCATTCATGTTTACAATTTTTATATCTAAAGATCTATATTACATTCTCCAAGGAAGATACACAAATGATCCCAAACAGTATACGATTTTTTTTTTACTTATAAAAATTTTTGTCATAAACTCACTTTGTCTCACATTAACATAGCCACTCTGGCTATCTTTCGGTTACCAACTGCACGAAGTATCTGTTTATCTTCATGTATAGTATATGATAAAATGTTATATTCACAGATAAAACAATTTAAAGTATAAAATTATGATTCAATATGCTTTTTAATTTCCTTGAACACTTTCTTTTCTTCTAAATCTATTTTCTTTATTCCTTTATAGTTTATTATTTTCATATGCTTAATAAATTCAGGAATGACAAAGTTGAAATACAACCAACTACATAGAAGTACAAAAAACCCTAAGGGACTATTATGAACACCTCTCTGCAGACAAACTAGAAAACCTAGAAGAAATATATAAATCCCTCGAAACAAGGAATTTATCTATTTCTCCACCCAAGATTATTTAACCTCCTGACATTAAGCCAGGAAGAAATTGAAATCCTGAACAGACCAATAATGGGTTCTGAAATTAAGTCAGTGATTAAAAAAAACCTACCAACCAAAACAAGCCCTGGACCAGACGGATTAACAACCAACTCCTACCAGACATATAAATAAGAGTTGGTACAAAATCTTCTGAAATTATTTTAAAAATTGAGAAGGGAATACTCTCTAAGTCATTCTGTGAAGCCAGCATCATTCTGATACCAAAATTAGGCACAAATACGACAAAAAAAAGTAAAGTTCGGGCCAACATTCCTGAGGAATATAGACACACAATCCTCCACGAAATACCAGCAAACCAAATCCAGCAGCACATCAAAAAGTGAATTCACCACGATCAAGTAGGCTTTATTTCTGGGATGCAAGGTTGGTTCAACAAGTGCAAATCAGTAAATGTGATTCACCACATAAACATAATTAAATACAAAAATCACATGATCATCTCAATAGAAGCAAAATGATTTTTCATAACATTCAGCATCCTTTCTTCTTAAAAACCCTCAATATACTGGGCACCAAATGAACTTATCTCAAAAAAATAAGAGCCATCTATGACACACCCACAGCCACCATCATACTAAACAAGTAAAATCTGGAAGCATTCCTCTTGAGAACTGGAACAATTTGAACAATTCAGTTTTCAATTTCTCATCAAAAATTGTGTTGACATGATTGATTGAAGTATTTTATCCCCCTTTCTCCCAAATACCAGGCCACAGACAGCATGAAATATTTTAAATAAACATTAAAATAAATAAGTCCAGATTGGTCATTAAATCGAGTATTTTTTTTTTATTGTATAAACTCAAGATGTACAACATGTTTTGATGTAGATATCTATAGTGAAATAATTACCACATGCTAGCAAATTAACACATCCATCACTGTCTGCAGTTTACTTTTTTGTGATAAAAACACATATAATCTAGTTATTCTCTTAGCAAATTTGTAATGTATAATAAAATAGAACTATAGTCCTTCTGTTGTACATTAGATCTCTAAATATCTTTATGTTACATAACTGTAATTTTGTCTTCTTTTACCTACATTATCCCAATTTGTCTACTTCCCTGACTCTGGCAACTGCCCTTCAACTCCCTATTTATCTTACTCAATTTCCATTTATTTTACACATAAATGAGCTCATGCTGCATTTTTCTTTCTGTGCCTGACTTGTTTCACTTGGCATATTGTACTCCATACTTTAAAATTTATTAAGCTTAAAGAATTAAACAAGTAAGCTCTAGTTGCCTAAGAAGTTAATGTACCCAGAAATATAAATTTCTCAACAATCATGGAAAATGTGTTACAACTATATCTTCTTTCAAGTAGGTCTTGTAAATATTTTCTGTATTAATACTGACTATGCTCTCGTTTGGTTGTCATTCTATTCTGAGTTTTTAACCCTCTTGTTTAACCCAATCTCTCCTCCTCAAAAATGAATAAATGCATTGACTCAAGAAACATTTATTTTTGAGCGTCTGTTTTGGAATAGGTGCTATATTTTAGGCATTGGAAAGACACTAGTGATAAAAATGGTAAAATGCTTTATCTCCTGGATCTTACATTCTATGGTAGAGAAGAGATAATAATCGCAAAAAAACTATCAGGAATGATAAACATTATAAAGAAGAGTAAAATAGGGTGTGTAGGAGATAATTACTGTTTTATATTCACTGCTCAGAGATGTCTTCTCTGATAATCAAGAGAGCAGAGAAGAGAGACCTAAATCAGTTGAAGAAATGGGTCACAACGTATCGGAAAAGAGACCACCAGGCAGAGAGAATAGTAATCTTTTTTTCTTTATTCAGTGTATTAAATGCATTGTGTTTATTGATATACCCCATTAGTTTAATCATATTCCCTCACACTTTGTTATTACCTTTATTTTAATTGCCATTTTTAAATTTTTGTGATGAACAAATAAAATTGTATATATTTATCATGTACAATGTGATATTTTAAAATATGTATATTGTGTGGAATGGGTAAATTGAGGTAATTAACATATGCATCACCTCACATACTTATAATTCTTTGCAGTAAGAAGACAAAATCAACTCTTTGCCTTTATTTCAAAATTATTTCATTGTGTGGTATTTAATATTTTCTATTTAACAAAATGTGTATATTATGTACAAATACCTATGCATAAAACATATTTTATAAGACTAAAATATCCTTAATTTCCCTCTCTTTACACAGTATCTACTAGTTTCCTAGCATAAGGAAGAACAGAAAATATTTCAGAAGATATGTCTATTCTCCTTTCCTTCATCATTCAATTGTAGCCAATATGTTTACACTAGTGCTTATCACTATTTCTTTACACTTGCTTTTATATTTTCTCCATCATCTTTATTATTTTACAATCACTCACAAGCCACGGAGCAGCCATTCAGCTTCGTCCCCATCACTCCCTTTAAATTCTCTCCTGACTCAGGGTGATTCCCATTTCACATCTTTCTGTTGGCCGATTGTCGTCTCTTTTTAGTGGGTCATCAGTTCTCTGAACCGTCATATTTCTGTTTTAAAATGTTTTCTCATTTATAAAACTGCTTTATTAAGGATTTGGGGTTGTAGAGTATTTGAAGTTTATATCAGTATTTAGCTCCGATTTAAGGCAATAATTTTGGGGTAGATTTATTTTTTTTCTATAGTATTTTTGGAAAGACGTTGCATTTTCTAATTTCATTTTTAAGAATTTGATTTGCCTTTCCAGTTGTTACCAGGTGGATTGCATAGGGCTTGCAGGCATTGGGGAATATTCTTGTTTCTCAAGCCCTACAGCTTCATTGTATGCATTCCTGCTGTCTTCTCCATGTTCATTTCTACCACCTTCCTATTCGTGGTTATGCCTGGGATGGTGACCCCCTTAGTTTAGGCAAGATTGTCCTGTTATCTCCACCACTTCTTTCCCAGGTATACTCCCTGCATCTATCTCTTCAATAATCCTCAGATTGCTACCTGGCTCCGTGTTCATCAGGCTTGGGTATAGCAGTTTACACTTGTGAGAGGACCCTCTCCTTCTTGGGGAATAATATTTCCTGGTATTTTTTATCATTACCACCACCAGTGACCTTGACTGGGTCTCTTCTCTGCCGGACTTCCTGCTTCCAATATGGAGTTTCTGTACCAATTCTGATGAGTGTCCGTGACTTTCTTCCCCTTCCTTACATGTAATTTATAGTTGATGGATTGCCTTTGTCTCCTGATTTCAGTGAAGGAATCATTTGTGCTTTTTTCATTTTTTTTGTCTTGGATGTTTATTATATCATTGGAGAATTAAAGTAGGATAAAAAGATTGGAAGACTATCTAAAAGTTTGTATCAGCAACTAGGACTCCCTTATGTATGTTTGAACAGTTTTGTTCTGTTTGCTTTTGTGAGAAATGAGATGAATTGATGTGCAAAGTGTTATTAGTTAGGGTGCCTCAATATAGGCCCAGGAAACATTGGAACACCAAAATGGATGGAGCAGACATGAGCAGAACACAAAAAAGAAATAAACAGCAATATGATAATAGTAGGGGATTATAATACCCCACTCTCAACACTCATAAACAACAAATGGACCCAAAAATAAAGACAATTTAAAAATATCCTGAGACAAACAAAAATGGACAAATAACATACCAAATCATGGGGTACAGCAAAAGTAGTTCTGATAGCTACTGAGACAGAGAGAGAAATGATCCCAAATAAGCAACCTAACTTGGCACTCTGGGAATTAGAAAAGAAGAAAAAAGCCAAAAGTTAGAAGAAAGAAGAAAGTTATAAAGGTTAGAGCAGAATTAAACAGATAAGAAAGACAAAAGAAAAGATCAGTAACACGAGGAGTTGGTTCTGTAAAAACGTGAGGAAAATTGGCAAACCTTTAGGTAGACAAACCAAGAAAACTAAGAGAGATGACTCAAATAAAACTATAAGTAAAGCAGGAGAAATTAGTCAATACTACCAAAATACAAAGGGTCATAAGAGATTATCATGACCAATTATGTCAATAAATTGAGTAACGTAGAAGAAATGGATAAATTCTTAGACATGTATGTCCTGAAGAAAGAATAAACCTGAACAAATTAATAACTAGTACAGAGATTAAATCACCAATAATAATAATAATAAACTTAAAAGTTCAGGACTTGATGCTTTTACTGGTGATTGCTACCAAATATCTAAAGACAGATTAATGCTATTCTCAAACTTTTCCAAACAATTAAAAAGGGTGCACTTTCCAACACATTTTTTCATGCATTACCCTAACACCAATGTCAGACAAGGACGGTATAAGAAAATTACAGGCCAATTTATTTTATGATCATGGATGTAAAGATTCTCAACACTAGCAAACTGAATTCAATATGTTCAAAAGATCATTTAGTTGAATGTTTTCTTTCTTCTGAAATTCTTCATTTTGCTTCCAAATGTCATTTTTCCTTATATTTTATTTTTTCATTAATCAAATTTAATTTTAAAATTTCCAACTAAAAAAATCTGTGGGTTTAATAAACATATTTTTAATTAACATTTAAAAAAAGCACAAGTTTGTAAATTGTATATTTTCTGTCCATTAGATTTTGGTTTGAGTATTGGGCCAATTGCACGGTAAGCTTTTTAATTTTTTTCCAGAAGTAATCCCAGGACCTTAAATCTCCACTGAAACTCTCGAAGTTTAATTGGTCAGCTGGGATTGTAGTCCCTGGGGTGTTGAAAGCATAAATAAGCCATACCTTAAGTCTGGACCATTTATCCCTGTAGGGAGTCCCTCTTCTCCTCTGTTCTCTTTCAGAACTACTTATTACTTTAGGTTCAGTGTATGTAGCATATGGTGACTCTATGGGTTTCAGTTTTCTGAACCCCAAATATGCAAAAATATAGAAAAAGCAGACCAGGCATCCCACCTTCTGTGTGCCACTAAGGGAGCATCTCTTCCTCTTTCTCCCCTAATAAGTTGTATATTATTTTCTCAGTATTTTAATTTTTTGCTATTTATATTATCTGAGATTTATCATTGGAATCATACAAATATTAAACCAGGAAAGATCACCCAGGAAGAAATTGAGATCACCCACAATATCAGGTATTCTAAAACATGTTATATGAAAATTGTAATAATTAAAACATGAATCACAAATCTTGCAGGTAGAAATGTCAACATATTAATTTTTTTGAGGAAGAGCAACTTGGATGAATATATGGATGTAAACTTGCTGATCAACTACAGCCAAAAATTACATTGTAATTGTAACGTGTCCCTAAACTTGACCCATTACCAATCCTGATAAGTCTGTGCTTAGGATTATGTAGATTTTCAAAGGATTGAAATGTAGTTGCCTTTTCCAAATCTTGACTAGCTTGTCTGACAAGGTAGGATCATGTCAAGTAGATTGGACTGAGGTGATCCCTTTATTTTAAAGAGCAGTCTTTGGCAAACACTGATACTAGAAACTGATATGATTTTGCTCTTGTTGAAGAATTTTACTTATTATAAATGTTTTTTAAAAACAAGGGAAGGAAACATAATCTTAAAACCACTCATTTGTGTCCATCCACATTATACTGTAGAGAAGACTGACTTTTTTTTCCAGGTGATTATTGTAGCAAAACATTTTAAGTTTTATTGAGATCGTTTGTCATGTCTAAATTTGTTCATCATAATATATCCTGAGCTTAGTTCAGTGCCTGGCTCATGATAAATTTTATTTATTTAGTGTGGTGAGAGCACTTAACAGGAAATTTACCCTCTTACACTTTTTCAGTGCACGATTCAGTACTGTGAACTCCAGGCACGGTGCTGCACAGCCAATCTCTAGGACTTCATCTTGTGTCACTGAAACCTTATACCCATTGCACAGTAGATCAAGAGAAGAAATACTTGATACACGGCACAAGACCTATAGAACACGCAGGGAAAACTTCTTCTGGCATCAGAAAACCTGTTCATTGCTGAGTTCATTCATTATATTCACCTCCTTACACCACAATGCTAACCCATGAATCTAACTGGCTGTGACAAAACTGTCTTTCATAAACCTACAGACTTTAAGATTTATGGAAAGAGAAAGACCTGTGGCATCCTAGAATTCTAACATCCACTCTTGGATCATCATGACCACTTAGCAGAGCTTTGCATTGAATTCCAGATAAAGAATATCAAACTCAAGGATATAGCAGCTCTTGAATAATGGGAAAGATAAATGAAGTGTTTGGCAAGTAGAAAGATAATCATGAAGTTCAGTCATTAAAGTCTCGCCCTGAACAAATGCCATGGACTTGACATCATAAAAAACATAAAATAGGTATAAGTCAAAAATGTTTATTTTGGGAAATTATATTTAAATCAAAATCAAAAATATACTCATCTGAAAGACAACAGAAAGTTCTGTCACCAAGGGAAATAAAACTCTAATTACCAAAACAAAATGTAAACAAAATAAAACTTACATAAATATATACATTCATGCATTCAAAAGAAGTTGCATAGAATTTTATTTAGCCATATCTCAGTATTTTGGAATTTTGCAAACACCAAGAGTCGCAATAATAATACATAATCTTCGTCTCTCACTCTGTTATTTTTTCCTCAAGCTTGGGAAAGATAATGTGTGAGTGGATAGAGTGATTCTGGGGATCGGGATGAGACAATTCTGCTTAAGGCAACTTCTCTTAGGATGGCAGGAGGTAGCAAGAGAAGAAAGGGCAGAATAACCATTACAGTTTACACCATATTTATAGCTATAATGCCTTAATATAATATGAAGTAATTACTTTCAATTACTTTTTAATAACAGAGATATATACAATATATATTCTTTAAAATGGTTATCTAAAAGTTTAAGAAATTAAAAAACCTTAATCTTAGAAATTATCTAGAAATTTAAATTTCTGAATTATAGGTAAATGTGTTATGATTTTCTTTTTTCAAATAAGCCTTACAAATATTTTCAATATTGATACTGTTTCATTTTAAATGTGCCACTAACATGATGCTGTCATTTCATTGTCATTCTAGCAGTAAGGATTCTGAGTCCTTAGCACTCTGTTTGACCCAGCCTCTCCTTCCAGGAAATGACTAAATATACTCATTCAGAGCATATTTATTTTTGAGCATCTACTTTGGGGCTACCACTGTGTTAGGCTTTCAGCACACAGCAGTGATAAAAATGAGCAAAATGTCTCATCTTATTAATATGACACTATATTGTGGAAAAGAGAAACAATTGTAAAAAATATGTTCAAGATTGTTAATTTTATGAAGAAAAATAAGACAGCATAAGGGACAGATCAGTCATTTTTATTCATTGGTCATTGAAATCTTTTCTGATAATCGAATAGCACAGAAGAGACCTAAAAGAACTGAAATAATGGGTTCTAGTGTATCTGGGGAAAACGACTCAAGGTAAAGGGAACCATCATCTTTTTCAGATGGCACTCAGAGCCATAAGAGGTTCAGATAGATCCACCCAGCAGTGAGTGCAGTGGGTTTTTCTAGGCAGAAAACACAGAAGAAACATCAAGAAATCACATGATTGGCTTGCCATGTCCAAGTCCTTTTCTAATTTTGTTTTTCTTTTTAAAGCATATTTTTTGCCTGCTACCATGACTTGTAATTTTTGATGATGTTGTTGAAAGCTGATGTATTCATTTGCTATGCGTACCATAGCATTCTGGTAGTTTGATGACAACCTTTGGCATTCCTTGGCTTGAAGTAGCATTACTTCAATCTATTCCTTTATCTTCAAAAGATAATATTCCTGGGTGCATGTCCAACTTTTTTTAAATAAGGACACCAGTTTCAAAGGTAAAGCCCAGACACTGGTTAAGGTAGTGAGGACAGATTTTAATTAGTAACATATTTTGGGGTATTTGTGGGTTTTTCACCTAAAATGTAATCTTACACAGGCTGTAGATTATATCTCTGTTTCCAGGAAGCCCCGTGTGTTGCTTTGTGTGTGCATCAGTCTCTCGAGAACCCCCTGTGAATCAGGAGGCATACGTTCCAGTGACTATAGGGAGTCGAGGGGCTAAAGAGGTAAGTGAAACATCTGGTAGGGGTAAAAGGATGGGTATATATCAAAAGTCAGGGGTGTTTAATGGAAAAGAGGTGCATATCAAAGTGTCAGGGGAGTTCAATGGAAAAAGTTAAGATGGTAAAAGAAAGAAGGAAAAAAGAAGGAAATGGGAAGGGAGCAGTCCTATAAGAGCCACTTTAGGCAGATCTTAAGATTTTCAAATAAACCATTGCAGTTCCGAATTATCCACAGTAAAGTCATTTTGCCTAAAATAGAAGCAGACATGGTTAGTGTCATAGTATATATAGAGAGTAGGAACCCAAAAGGGGTTTAACTGTGGAGTTCCTGTGGGAAGAGTAAGTTCAAATAGAATGAAGAGGTCTCACAAGAAGCCAGAGTGAACATTCCAGCACAGGAGTTAGGAAGTGAATTCCCACTGAAAACAGGGAGCCAGGAAGATAAACAGCCAGCCCAGGAGATGTCTTTCAAAAGCAGCCTGGAATTATAACCCAGCCTTAGAGACTACAGCCAGAAACATAGGAAGAAAATATGTCCTCGCCATGCCTCAGTGCAAATTTCTACACAGTGTTAGGCCAGAAGTTGAACTCGCCACCAAATACCCAAAAAAGTAAGTCAACTGAAGATCAGACAAAGGTTTCTACGCATGCAGAAAGGATTGACTGTTTTGTCCAAGGGCCAGATAAGGGTTCCAATCTGGATTTGAGTTCCAGTGCCAGATAACTGTCAAGACAAACAAAATGGAAAACTGGTTAAAGAGGTAAGAACGTGCTTTAACTAGTCATATACTATTGAAACAGGCAAGAGTTCAGCATGAACTTAACTTTGATGTATCCAGGTTGAGGAAAATGTTAAAGGGAGTTTGAGGAAAGAGAAATGGGAGTTAGTGGGGGCTCAGGAGGGTCAGGGATGTGAGAAATTACAAATCGTGAGAAGGGGGGAGTTGGTTCCTGTGAAACCCATTTGCTTTGTTAACTGATACTTGCTGATGTTGGGCTTCTACCCTCCCACAGAGGTCAGGAGACACCAGGCCTATCTTCAAGTCTTGGCTGGGACAAGCATGCTATAGATTGTCTGTGTACTTACATAAGTTATATGTTGAAATCTTAAACCCCAATGTGATGATATTGGGAGAGGAAGTCTTTGGGGGTTGATTAGATCATGAGTGATGAACTCATGAATGGCCTTAGTGACCTCATAAAAGAGACTCCAGAGAGCTTTCTTGCCTCTTCTGCCATGTGAGGGCACAGCAAGAAGACCATGCTCTATAAATCAGAAAATGGGTCCTTACAGACCAAACTGGCTGGCACCTTTATTGTGGACTTTCCAATCTGTGGAAATGTGAGAAATAAGTGTTGTGTAAGGCCATGGTATTTTTGTTATAGGAACCATGAAGACAGGCAGGTTTCAGTTTTCTCAGACAGTTCACTTTAAGGGAGACTGGGTCGTTCGTTCTAGAGATGTAGACTTGAACTGTTACCAACTATGTTCCTGTCTTTTTCAAGTTTTTATAGACCAAAGTTAAGGCTGAATTGAGAAGGCTCAGAAGACCCTGGCTAGAGTTTCGTCAAGTTTAAAATGATCGTCAACTCTGTATACATCAAAATTGAGTTCAGTGCGTGCTGGACTGTTTTCTCTGTTTCAATAGTATATGACTCATTAAAATATGTTGTTACTACTTTTTCTTCAATCATATTGGATTAGGGACACTTTCTACTAGAGTATGTTCTCATCTTCAATTAACTAATTACATCTGCAATGGTCCTATTTCCAAATAAGGGTACATTCTGAGATAGTTGGGGGTATGACTTCAATATATGAGTCTGTGGGGATACAATTCTTACCATAATTTACATGATGTGTTAGGTAAAGATAAACAGGCGTTTAGTGTGAAGTTTATGTTTATGTGTTAGGCTATGTTTATCGCTAGTTTTACCTCTGATGTCAGAGGCCATAATTTGCTCTAGTGTTCTTATTTTTGTGTCCTCTGTTATCTTTGGCTTTTCTACAGATTCATTGTTAAACAGGATTTGAGGCTTGTCATCCTTCCATGTGCATCCTCTGTTATCATACATGAGATATTTTAATGTGTTTGTCAGTGTGGAAGGGAGAGAAATCATTCTATAGTCCTACAAATTGGTCTGAATCTATTTGCCAGCATGTGTTCTTGGACTGCAACCTTCAAAGAGCTTCTTAACATCCCCTGCCCACCCCCACATAGGTGTGACACAGGTTAGAAGGACCTGGAGTTGGGTATTTTCCTTCTAGCATATTGGTTAGCCTGTGGTAAAACCCCAGTAATACGGCAGCCTCTGTTAAATAGTTTATTTTTTTTAATTATACTTTAAGTTCTAGGGTACATGTACACAACGTGCAGGTTTGTTACATATGTATACATGTGCCATGTTGGTGTGCTACACCCATTAACTCGTCATTTACATTAGGTATATGTCCTAATGCTATCCCTCCCTCCTCCCCCCACCCCACAACAGGCCCTGGTGTGTGATGTCCCCCTTCCTGTGTCCAGGTGTTCTTATTGTTCAATTCCCACCTATAAGTGAGAACATGCGATGTTTGGTTTTTTGTTTTGCAATAGTTTGCTGAGAATGATGGTTTCCAGCTTCATCCATCTCCCTACAAAGGACAAGAACTCATCATTTTTTAAGGCTGCAGAGTATTCCATGGTGTATATGTGCCACATTTTCTTTTGTGTGTGTGTTTTTTTTTTTGTTTTGTTTAAGTTTTTCTTTTATTATTATACTTTAAGTTTTAGGGTACATGTGCACATTGTGCAGATTAGTTACATACGTATACATGTGCCATGCTGGTGCGCTGCACCCACTAACTCGTCATCTAGCATTAGGTATATCTCCCAATGCTATCCCTCCCCCCACCCCACAACAGTCCCCAGAGTGTGATGTTCCCCTTCCTGTGTCCATGTGATCTCATTGTTCAATTCCCACCTATGAGTGAGATTATGCGGTGTTTGGTTTTTTGTTCTTGCGATAGTTTACTGAGAATGATGATTTCCAATTTCATCCATGTCCCTACAAAGGACATGAACTCATCCTTTTTTATGGCTGCATAGTATTCCATGGTGTATATGTGCCACATTTTCTTAATCCAGTCTATCATTGTTGGACATTTGGGTTGGTTCCAAGTCTTTGCTATTGTGAATAATGCCGCAATAAACATACGTGTGCATGGGTCTTATAGCAGCATGATTTATAGTCCTTTGGGTATATACCCAGTAATGGGATGGCTGAGTCAAATGGTATTTCTAGTTCTAGATCCCTGAGGAATCGCCACACTGACTTCCACAATGGTTGAACTAGTTTACAGTCCCACCAACAGTGTAAAAATGTTTCTATTTCTCCACATCCTCTCCAGCACCTGTTGTTTCCTGACTTTTTAATGTTTGCCATTCTAACTGGTGTGAGATGGTATCTCATTGTGGTTTTGATTTGCATTTCTCTGATGGCCGGTGATGATGAGCATTTTTCATGTGTTTTTTGGCTGCATAAATATCTTCTTTTGAGAAGTGTCTGTTCATATCCTTCACCCACTTTTTGATGGGGTTGTTTTTTTCTTGTAAATTTGTTTGAGTTCATTGTAGATTCTGGATATTAGCCCTTTGTCAGATGAGTAGGTTGCGAAAATTTCCTCCCATTTTGTAGGTTGCCTGTTCAGTCTGATGGTAGTTTCTTTTGCTGTGCAGAAGCTCTTTAGTTTAATTAGATCCCATTTGTCAATTTTGGCTTTTGCTGCCATTGCTTTTGGTGTTTTAGACATGAAGTCCTTGCCCATGCCTATGTCCTGAATGGTACTGCCTAGGTTTTCTTCTAGGGCTTTTATGGTTTTAGGTCTAACGTTTAAGTCTTTAATCCATCTTGAATTGATTTTTGTATAAGGTGTAAGGAAGGGATCCAGTTTCAGCTTTCTACATATTGCTAGCCAATTTTCCCAGCACCATTTATTAAATAGGGAATCCTTTCCCCATTGCTTTTCTCAGGTTTGTCAAAGATCAGATAGTTGTAGATATGCGGCGTTATTTCTGAGGGCTCTGTTCTGTTCCATTGATCTATATTTCTGTTTTGGTACCAGTACCATGCTGTTTTGGTTACTGTAGCCTTGTAGTATAGTTTGAATTCAGGTAGTGTGATGCCTCGAGGTTTGTTCTTTTGGCTTAGGATTGACTTGGTGATGTGGGCTCTTTTTTGGTTCCATATGAACTTTAAAGTAGTTTTTTCCAATTCTGTGAAGAAAGGCATTGGTAGCTTGATGGGGATGGCATTGAATCTGTAAATTACCTTGGGCAGTATGGCCATTTTCATGATATTGATTCTTCCTACCCATGAGCATAGAATGTTCTTCCATTTGTTTGTATCCTCTTTTATTTCCTTGAGCAGTGGTTTGTAGTTCTCCTTGAAGATGTCCTTCACATCCCTTGTAAGTTGGATTCCTAGGTATTTTATTCTCTTTGAAGCAATTGTGAATGGGAGTTCACTCATGATTTGGCTCTCTGTCTATTGTTGGTGTATAAGAATGCTTATGATTTTTGTACACTGATTTTGTATCCTGAGATTTTGCTGAAGTTGCTTATCAGCTTAAGGAGATTTTGGGCTGAGACAATGGGGTTTTCTAGATATACAATCATGTCATCTGCAAACAGGGACAATTTGACTTCCTCTTTTCCTAATTGAATACCCTTTATTTCCTTCTCCTGCCTAATTGCCCTGGCCAGAACTTCCAACACTATGTTGAATAGGAGTGGTGAGAGAGGGCATCCTGTCTTGTGCCAGTTTTCAAAGGGAATGCTTCCAGTTTATGCCCATTCAGTATGATATTGGCTGTGGCTTTGTCATAGATAGCTCTTATGATTTTGAAATACATCCCATCAATACCTAATTTATTGAGAGTTTTTAGCATGAAGGGTTGTTGAATTTTGTCAAAGGCCTTTTCTGCATCTATTGAGATAATCATGTGGTTTTTGTCTTTGGCTCTGTTTATATGCTGGATTACATTGATTGATTTGCTTATATTGAACCAGCCTTGCATCCCAGGGATGAAGCCCACTCGATCATGGTGGATAAGCTTTTTGATGTGCTGCTGGATTCGGTTTGCCAGTATTTTATTGAGGATTTTTGCATCAATGTTCATCAAGGATATTGGTCTAAAATTCTCTTTTTTGGTTGTGTCTCTGCCCAGCTTTGGTATCAGGATGATGCTGGCCTCATAAAATGAGTTAGGGAGGATTCCTTCTTTTTCTATTGATTGGAATAGTTTCAGAAGGAATGGTACCAGTTCCTCCTTGTACCTCTGGCAGAATTCGGCTGTGAATCCGTCTGGTCCTGGACTCTTTTTGGTTGGTAAGCTATTGATTATTGCCACAATTTCAAATCCTGTTATTGGTCTATTCAGAGATTCAACTTCTTCCTGGTTTAGTCTTGGGAGAGTGTATGTGTCGAGGAATTTATCCATTTCTTCTAGATTTTCTAGTTTATTTGCGTAGAGGTGTTTGTAGTATTCTCTGATGGTAGTTTGTATTTCTGTGGGATAGGTGGTGATATCCCCTTTATCATTTTTTATTGCTTCTATTTGATTCTTCTCTCTTTTTTTATTAGTCTTGCTAGCGGTCTATTTTGTTGATCCTTTCAAAAAACCAGCTCCTGGATTCATTAATTTTTTGATGGGTTTTTTGTGTGTCTATTTCCTTCAGTTCTGCTCTGATTTTAGTTATTTCTTGCCTTCTGCTAGCTTTTGAATGTGTTTGCTCTTGCTTTTCTACTTCTTTTAATTGTGATGTTAGGGTGTCAATTTTGGATCTTTCCTGCTTTCTCTTGTGGGCATTTAGTGCTATAAATTTCCCTCTACACACTGCTTTGAATGTGTCCCAGAGATTCTGGTATGTTGTGTCTTTGTTCTCATTGGTTTCAAAGAACATCTTTATTTCTGCCTTCATTTTGTTATATACCCAGTAGTCATTCAGGAGCAGGTTGTTCAGTTTCCATGTAGTTGAGTGGTTTTGAGTGAGATTCTTAATCCTTAGTTCTAGTTTGATTGCACTGTGGTCTGAGAGATAGTTTGTTATAATTTCTGTTCTTTTACATTTGCTGAGGAGAGCTTTACTTCCAAGTATGTGGTCAATTTTGGAATAGGTGTGGTGTGGTGCTGAAAAAAATGTATATTCTGTTGATTTGGGATGGAGAGTTCTGTAGATGTCTATTAGGTCTGCTTGGTGCAGAGCTGAGTTCAATTCCTGGGTATCCTTGTTGACTTTCTGTCTTGTTGATCTGTCTAATGTTGACAGTGGGGTGTTAAAGTCTCCCATTATTAATGTGTGGGAGTCTAAGTCTCTTTGTAGGTCACTCAGGACTTGCTTTATGAATCTGAGTGCTCCTCTGTTGGGTGCATATATATTTAGGATAGTTGGCTCTTCTTGTTGAATTGATCCCTTTACCATTATGTAATGGCCTTCTTTGTCTCTTTTGATCTTTGTTGGTTTAAAGTCTGTTTTATCAGACTAGGATTGCAACCCCTGCCTTTTTTTGTTTTCCATTTGCTTGGTATATTTTCCTCCATCCTTTTATTTTGAGCCTATGTGTGTCTCTGCACGTGAGATGGGTTTCCTGAATACAGCACACTGATGGGTCTTGACTGTTTATCCAATTTGCCAGTCTGTGTCTTTTAATTGGAACATTTAGTCCATTTACATTTAAAGTTAATATTGTTATGTGTGAATCTGATCCTGTCATTATGATGTCAGCTGGTTATTTTGCTCGTTAGTTGATGCAGTTTCTTCCTAGTCTCAATGGTCTTTACATTTTGGCATGATTTTGCAGCGGCTGGTACCGGTTGTTCCTTTCCATGTTTAGTGCTTCCTTCAGGAGCTCTTTTAGGGCAGGCCTGGTGGTGACAAAATCTCTCAGCATTTGCTTGTCTGTAAAGTATTTTATTTCTCCTTCATTTAGGAAGCTTAGTTTGGCTGGATATGAAATTCTGGGTTGAAAATTCTTTTCTTTAGAATGTTGAATATTGGCCCCCACTCTCTTCTGGCTTGTAGGGTTTCTGCCAAGAGATCCGCTGTTAGTCTGATGGGCTTCCCTTTGAGGGTAACCTGACCTTTCTCTCTGGCTGCCCTTAACATTTTTTCCTTCATTTCAACTTTGGTGAATCTGACAATTATGTTTCTTGGAGTTGCTCTTCTCGAGGAGTATCTTTGTGGCATTCTCTGTATTTCCTGAACCTGAATTTTGGCCTGCCTTGCTAGATTGGGGAAGTTCTCCTGGATAATATCCTGCAGAGTGTTTTCCAACTTGGTTCCATTCTCACCATCACTTTCAGGTACACCAATCAGATGTAGATTTGGTCTTTTCACATAGTCCCATATTTCTTGGAGGCTTTGCTCTTTTTATTCTTTTTTCTCTAAACTTCCCTTCTCACTTCATTTGATTCATTTCATCTTCCATCACTGATAGCCTTTCTCCAGTTGATTGCATTGCCTCCTGAGGCTTCTGCATTCTTCATGTAGTTCTCAAGCCTTGGTTTTCAGCTCCATCAGCTCCTTTAAGCATTTCTCTGTATTGGTTATTCTAGTTATACATTCTTCTAAATTTTTTTCAAAGTTTTCAACTTCTTTGCCTTTAGTTTGAATGTCCTCCCGTAGCTCAGAGTAATTTGATCGTCTGAAGCCTTCTTCTCTCAGCTCGTCAAAGTCATTCTCCATCCAGCTTTGTTCCGTTGCTGGTGAGGAACTGCGTTCCTTTGGAAGAGGAGAGGCGCTCTGCTTTTTAGAGTTTCCAGTTTTTCTGTTCTGTTTTTTCCCATCTTTGTGGTTTTATCTACTTTTGGTCTTCGATGATGGTGATGTACAGAAGGGTTTTTGGTTTTCTCCCATTCTATAGCTTGCCTGTTCACTATGATGATAGTTTCCTTTGCTGCACAGAAGCTCTTTAATTAGATCCCATTTGTCAACTTTGGCTTTTGTTGCCATTGCTTTTGGTGTTTTAGTCATGAAGTCTTTACCCACGTCTATGTCCTGAATGGTATTGCCTAGGTTTTCTTCTAGGGTTTTTATTGTTTTAGGTCTAACATTTAAGTCTTTAATCTATCTTGAGTTAATTTTTTATAAGATGTAAGGAAGAAGTCCAGTTTCAGTTTTCTGCATATGGCTAGCCAGTTTTCCCAGCACCATTTATTAAACAGGGAATTTTTTTTCCCATTGCTTGTTTTTGTCAGTTTTGTCAAAGATCAGATGGTTGTAGATGTGCGGTGTTATTTCCGAGGCCTCTGTTCTGTTCCATTGGTCTATATATCTGTTTTGGTACCACTACCATGCTGTTTTGGTTACTGTAGCCTTGTAGTATAGTTCGAAGTCAGGTAGTGTGATGCCTCCAGCTTTGTCCTTTTTGCTTAGGATTGTCTTGGCTATATGGCCTTTTTTTGGTTCCATATGAAATTTAAAGTAGTTTTTTCTAATTCTGTGAAGAAGGTCAAGCTAGCTTGATGGGGATAGCATTGAATCTATAACTTACTTTGGGCAGTGTGGCATATATATCCAAAGGATTATAAATCATTCTATAAAGTCACATGGACACATGTTTATTGTGGCACTATTCACAACAGCAAAGACTTGGAATCAACCTAAATGCCCATCAATGATAGACTGGATAAAGAAAGTGTGGCACATATACACCATGGAATACTATGCAGCCATAGAAAAGGATGCATTCATGTCCTTTGCAGGGACATGGATGAAGGTGGAAACCATCATTTTCAGCAAACTAACACAAGAACAGAAAAGCAAACATCGCATGTTCTCATTCATAAATGGGAGTTGAACAATAAGAACACATGGACACAGGGAGGGGAACATCACACACCAGGGCCTGTTGGTGGGTTGGGGGGCTAGGAAGGAGGGATAGCATTAGGAGAAATACCTAACATAGATGACAATTTGATGGCTGCAGGAAACCACCATGGCATGTGTATACTTATGTAACGTGCACGTTCTGCACATGTACCCTAGAACTTATAGTTTAAAAAAAAGTTTGCTTTGGCTTTCGATGTAATTCTACTTAGACAACTCTTATACATATAGAGTAACATGTACACACATTTCATTTTACAAATTCTCCCTTTTATTTTGACTTGGCATTTGACAATATCACTTTGATAGTAGCTTGTGAATATTAGTCAAGATTTGTATAGAGGTCGGGCACAGTGACTCATGCCTGTAACCCCAGCACTTTGGGAGGCTGAGTCAGGTGGATCACTTGAGGTCAGTTGTTCAAGAGCACCCTAGCCAACATGGTGAAACACCATTTGTACTAAAATTACAAAAATTAGGCCAGGCACAGTGGCTCACGCCTATAATCCCAGCACTTTGGGAGGCTGAGGTAGTTAGGTCACCTGAGGTCAGGAGTTCCAGACCAGCCTGGCCAACATGGTGAAACCCCCATCTCTACTAAAAAAAAATATATATATATATAAAAATATATATATATACACACAAAAATTAGCGGGCATGGGGCCTGTGCCTGTAATCCCAGCTACTTGGGAGGCTAAGGCAGGAGAATTGCTTGAACGTGGGAGGTGGTTTGCAGTGAGCAGAGATTGTGCCACTGCACTCCACCCTGGGAGACAGAGTGAGATTCCATCTAAAAAAAAAAAAAAAAAAAAAAAAATACAACAATTAGCTGGGAGTGGTGGCACACGCCTGTAGTCTCAGCTACTCTTGAGGCTGAGGCAAGAGAATTACTTGAACCCAGGAAGCAGAGGTTGAAGGGAACAGAGATCACGGCACTGTACTCTAGTCCAGGCGACAGAACGACTCCATCTCAAAAAATATATATATTTGTATACATATAACAAAATATTTGCATCAAAAGGACATTGGGTCAGTTGCTTTACCTGCATAAATACATCATTTGAACATATAAATATATCGGTGTAAAAATGGGCAAAGTACAAGAATAAGCAAAGAGTGAATAAATACAAATATCAAATAAAACAAATGTTAATACAATACTTTTGTTGTTTGAGTAAAACTTTATTCAATAAAAATAGAAGGAAGTGGCATTTCCCGCCCATGGATTTATGTTGAGGAAAGTTCTATAGGTCTTCACAACATGTTTTAGGTGATATATAAGGAAGATAATTATACTGTAAACGACTGTGGATTACCATTCTTGACCTCATTACTTTCTATCCCCAAATATTAATCACTTAGTATTTGAAGCTGAAGAGTCCTGAAGCTGCAGGAAAAATGGAGGAAACCAACAACAGCTCTGAAAAGGGATTTCTTCTCCTGGGATTTTCAGATCAGCCTCAGCTAGAGAGGTTTCTTTTTGCCATCATTTTGTACTTCTACGTCTTGAGCCTTCTGGGGAACACTGCCCTCATACTAGTATGTTGTCTGGACTCCAGACTCCACACTCCAATGTACTTCTTCCTCAGCAACCTCTCGTGTGTGGACATCTGCTTTACCACCAGTGTTGCCCCACAGTTGCTGGTTACCATGAATAAGAAAGACAAAACCATGAGCTACGGTGGCTGTGTGGCCCAGCTCTATGTGGCCATGGGGTTGGGCTCGTCTGAGTGTATTCTCTTGGCCGTCATGGCTTATGACCGCTATGCTGCTGTCTGCCGGCCACTGCGCTACATAGCCATTATGCACCCCAGGTTCTGTGCGTCTCTGGCCGGTGGAGCATGGCTCAGCGGCCTCATCACCTCCCTAATTCAGTGCTCCCTCACTGTGCAGCTGCCCCTCTGTGGTCATCGCACACTGGATCATATTTTCTGTGAGGTGCCAGTGCTCATCAAACTGGCCTGTGTGGATACGACTTTCAACGAGGCAGAACTCTTTGTGGCCAGTGTAGTCTTTCTAATTGTCCCGGTGTTACTCATCTTAGTCTCCTATGGCTTTATCACTCAAGCTGTGTTAAGGATAAAATCAGCTGCGGGCCGCCAAAAGGCCTTTGGGACCTGTTCGTCTCACCTGGTTGTGGTCATCATTTTCTATGGGACCATCATATTCATGTACCTTCAACCGGCCAATAGGAGATCCAAAAACCAGGGAAAGTTTGTTTCTCTTTTCTATACCATAGTCACCCCACTTTTAAACCCCATTATCTACACTCTGAGAAACAAAGATGTGAAAGGGGCCTTGAGGACCCTGATACTGGGTAGTGCTGCTGGACAAAGCCACAAGGACTAGGAAACACCTGGAATTCTAAACAAGGGAAACACCTCAAGGCAGAGTGAGGGTTCATCCTCCCCAGACATTCCTCTTGTCAATCCCAAAGCCACAGGGACTAGGAAGCATTGGAATTCTAAAGAAGGGAAACACCTCAAGGCAGCGTGAGGATTCATCCTCCCCAGACATTCCTCTTGTCAATCCCAAAGCCACAGGGACTAGGAAGCATTGGAATTCTAAAGAAGAGAAACACACCAAAGCAGCATGAGGGTTCATCCTCCCAGACATTCCTCTTGTCAATCCAAGACCCTGTGTTCTATCTGGAAAAAAATGTTTGTCCTTCATCCACCTGCCATCAAGGTTCATGTATCCATTATTTCCTTCTAATGTGCCAGCCCATCTGATAGACTTCTACTAATGCTTCAAAACTCAGCTGAAATGTCACCTGCACTCACTAGCTGTCCTGAAACACCATCCTTCTCATCCTTGTGCAGAATTAACTGTTTCATAATATGTTTCCATAGCACTTGATCCACACTACCATTTCTACATTTCACATTTGAGATATATGTATACATATATCTCTAACTAGGCAAAGCAATGTATATAACAGACTGAAAAAATACATGACCATTTTCCCAGAATATGTCACTTTTAACTGGAGAATGGAACCATCCCACTCTATTGGCTTATTTACAACACGAGAAACACAAATATTAAGAGTTGTGATGCTTTGGTTCCACAGAATTGTGGGATGCAAATAATGACTAATATTTTATTAAAGGAATCAAATAAGCAAACTTGAATTAAGGAGATTGATTAAAAGTTGAGTAAAATTGCCATATACTAAAATGTGTTTTAACATTTATACAAAATTCATAAAATAAGTTATTGTTTTTGGCCTTAAACTCTGGAAAACAGTTACTTATGTAATTTTATACTTCAAAAATTTGAAATATGAATCCCACACACTGTCTCACGTTAACGATCATAGTTATATGTTTGGTTTCCAAAACAGCAAAAAAAATGAAATATTTAGAAGCATTTTAATAAATGTATTCTTATATTTGACCAAACTTTTACTTTCTGATTTAATTCTGTCTCTATCTCTCTGTGTATCTTTGTGTGTCTCAGCCTCTTTCTTGCTTTCTTTTCCCAAAACGATTGAACTTCATCAATTCGTCAACCTCAAGTATTTTAAGAGAACTGTGCAATTATAGAAAAAAGTGATTTAATCTGTGGTTGTAATTTTACTTCATATTCTCATTATGATACACATGAAAAAAGCATGAAAACATCAATGCAAATGAAGAGTAAAATGCAGGCAGAATCTGGGGTGGAAGTGGAATTTTCAAGTGATTTAGACTTTTCTTTTTTGGACAGGGTCTTGCTCTGTTGCCCAGGCTGGAGTGCAGTGGCTCAATCATGGCTCACTGCAGCCTTGACCTCCTGGGTTTAAGTGATCCCTCTGCCTCAGCCTTCCAACATTCAGATTTATAATAATTCATCCTGGTGTGAGAATATTGTAGCCTGTCTACGAATGTTAAGGATAACGTTTGGACCTGCCTCTCCTACCAAAGCCTGGACTGAAGGCAAAATGGCTGCGCACACAAGAACAAAAAGGCATCAGGAGAATTCACTAATGACTCAGGCTGCCTCTTCACAAATACCCTGTCCAGCTGGCACCTCTTCAATATACTTTTAGCAAACAAAATGATGAATATCCAATTTAACAAAAACGAGGGAAAAGAAGCCTGGTTAAATTTGTCTTCTAGGATATTCTTATGTGATTTTCCTCCTCCAGTAATGGAGAGGAGAGTTGGGAACTGAGCAGAACATGCTGAGGAGCACATGTTTTTATTTACAATATGCAAGTAGAGAAGTAGTTCTACAGGAAGCGTCACATGTACAAATGCATTATTCCTGATAACCCGAGCAACACAGCATAGGAAAGAATGTACCTGTGTCAGAGTCTCAATCAATTTACATGGAATATGGCCCCAGGGCAAAAGATGTGGCATTTAAAGGAAAGAAATAGCTCCAGGTGAAAAGACAACCATGTGTAAAGCAATGATATGAACACAATATGTAGAAAAACCTACATATGAATTGTGAAGCAACCATTTTCAAAGACAAACTCACATCCATTTAAGGTAATATGGAATACAAATCCCACTGAAAATAAAATCAAATTATTACTGTATACAATAAATTCAAACATAATTCAGAAAAAAATAGAATATCTGCTTATTGCTGAAATTAGCATCTTTAGCTGTAAGTTATTTGCACCCAAAAGGAAACCAGAAAATAATAGATATAACATAGGCAAAGCAACCTAAAAAAACTACTTAACTGCAGATGAAAATGGGAACACATTTGAAAATAAAATCCTGTTACTACTTTCTTGAATTTAGAGCTTTCCTATGATATGGATATGTTTATACTGCTTTTATAATCATCATACATGTATAATTTCATACTATTTTTATTTATAATGTGAGCATTTTTCTGATTAATCTAAAAAATATCCACCATTTATTAAAAATCTTCCCTATAATTGAATAACATGAGTAGTTTCTCTTTTTTAAATACCTACATTGAGCATACTTTTGTTTGTGAATGCTTATAATTATGTACTTATAATGTATTTTATAAATACAATTAGTAAATCTAAAACAGGTACACATCAGTCAATTTGCACACATTACTAGCTTGATCTGCAGAACACGTTTTCAAAGGATGCGCCAAGAAAAAAACTATCACTTAGTTAAATGACCATTCAGTATTGCAATTATTTAAAAACTATACAATGAGAATGCTGTAATAAGTATATGGTTCCACCACTCCAAACACCATGAATTTTTTTTAAAAGATATTTTTAAGAAAAAATAAAATGATTTTACATAACAAATATTAATGAATTCATGAAAAACAAAAACCATATAGGACCACAGCTCAGAGAAGAAAAATGGGAGGCACTTACTATTTAAACCCTAACCCAAATGGTCAGTAAAAAGACAAGTACCAGCTACTACAAAAAAACACCAAAATATAAAGACCAATGATACTGTGAAGAAACTGCATTACCTAATGTGCAAAATAACCAGCTAGCATCACGATGACAAGATCAAATTCACACATAAAAATATTAATCTTAGGCAGGGCACAGTGGCTCACACTTGTAATCATAGCACTTTGGGAGGCTGAGTCAGGTGGATCATGAGGTCAGGAGTTCAAGCTCAGCCTGGCCAGCATGGTGAAACCCCATGTCTCCTAAAAAAAATACAAAAAATTAGCCAGGCACAGTGGTGCATGCCTATAATCCCAGTTACTCAGGAGGCTGAGGCAGGAGAATTGCTTGAACCTAGGAGGCAGAGGTTGCAGTGAGCCAAGATCGTGCCACTGTACTCCAGCCTGGGCAACAGAGCAAGACTCCATCTCAAAAAAAAAAGAAAAAAATGTATATGTTATCACTTTGGTCTCATTTGAGTATGAATGATCAGACAGGGAAAATAAAAGTACCAAGAAAAATAAACAAGGGTCTTATAATAAAAGCAACACAGAATGGCCAAAGCTATCCTGAGCAAAAAGAGGAAAAAAGCTGGAGCCATCACATTACTAGACTTCAAAATATACTACCAAGTTATAGTTACCAAAACAGCCTGGTATTGGCATAAAAACAGACACATGGGCCAATAGAACAGAATGGAGAACCTAGAAATAGATTCATGTATTTACAGCCAACTGATTTTTGACAAAGGTGCCAAGAACATACACTGGGGAAAGGAGAGTTTCTTCAATAAATGTCCTGGAACAGTAATCAGCAGCTGGGGCTGGTACCATAGGGATACTTAAAGTTGAATTTATCAATTGCTGGAAGCTCATGTGAACTAACTTGACAAATAAAAAAAATGTTGAGCCCCAGTCTTAGGAAATCCTCCCTATACTCATGATTTTTACCTTCAGGAGTCTCAACAGCTTCTCACTGTGCAAAGTAGAGAGAAATTCCCTTTTGCTTTGGCAGAGAGAGGAGAAAATAAACATTTGAAATATGCCCAGAGCTCTCTGTTCACCATAACCTGATCTCAGTAGTAACTATTTAATGATTGCCATTCTAACTGGTGTGAGATGATATCTCATTGTGGTTTTGATTTGCATTTCTCTGATGGCCAGTGATAATGAGCATTTTTTCATGTGGCTGTGGGCTGCATAAATATCTTTTGAGAAGTGTCTGTTCATATCTTTCGCCCACTTTTTGATGGGTTTTTTTTTTCTTGTAAATTTGTTTGAGTTCTTTGTAGATTCTGGATATTATCCCTTTGTCAGATGAGTAGACTGCAAAAATTTTCTCCCATTCTCTAGGTTGCCTGTACACTCTGATGGTAGTTTCTTTTGCTGTGCAGAAGCTCTTTAGTTTAATTAGATCCCATTTGTCAATTTTGGCTTTTGTTGCCATTGCTTTTGGTGTTTTAGACATGAAGTCCTTATCCATGCCTATGTCCTGAATGGAATTGCCTAGGTTTTCTTCTAGGGTTTTTATGGTTTTAGGTCTAACATTTACGTCTTTAATCCATCTTGAATTAATTTTTGTATAAGGTGTAAGGAAGGGATCCAGTTTCAGCTTTCTACATATGGCTAGTCAGTTTTCCCAGCACCATTTGTTAAATAGGGAATCCTTTCCCTATTTCTTGTTTTGTCAGGTTTGTCAAAGATCAGATAGTTGAAGATGTGTGGTATTATTTCGGAGGGTTCTGTTCTGTTCCATTGGTCTATCTCTCTGTTTTGGTACCAGTGCCATGCTATTTTGGTTACTGTAGCCTTGTAGTATAGTTTAAAGTTAGGTAGCATGATGCCTCCAGCTTTGTTCTTTTGGCTTAGGATTGACTTGGCGATGCAGGCTCTTTTTTGGTTCCATATGAACTTTAGTTTTTTCCAATTCTGTGAAGAAAGTCATTGGTAGCTTGATGGGGATGGCATTGAATCTATAAATTACCTTGGGCAGTATGGCCATTTTCATGGTATTTCTTCTTCCTATCCATGAGCATGGAATGTTCTTCCATTTGTTTGTATCCTCTTTTATTTCATTGAGCAAACAGGTGCTGGAGAGGATGTGGAGAAATAGGAACACTTTTACACTGTTGGTGGGACTGTAAACTGGTTCAACCATTGTGGAAAACAGTGTGGTGATTCCTCAGGTATCTAGAACTAGAAATACCATTTGACCCAGCCATCCCATTACTGGGTATATACCCAAAGGATTATAAATCATGCTGCTATAAAGACACATGCACATGTATGTTTATTGCAGCAGTATTCACAATAGCAAAGACCTGGAACCAACCCAAATGTCCAACAATGATAAAGTGGATTAAGAAAATGTGGCGAAGATGGCCGAATAGGAACAGCTCCGGTCTACAGCTCCCAGCGTGAGCGACGCAGAAGACAGGTGATTTCTGCTTTTCCATCTGAGGTACCGGGTTCGTCTCACTAGGGAGTGCCAGACAGTGGGTGCAGGTCAGTGGGTGCGCGCACCATGTGCAAGCCAAAGCAGGGCGAGGCACTGCCTCACTCGGGAAGCGCAAGGGGTCAGGGAGTTCCCTTTCCTAGTCAAAGAAAGGGGTGACGGAGGGCACGTGGAAAATTGGGTCACTCCCACCCAAATACTGCACTTTTCCGACGTGCTTAAAAAACAGCGCACCACGAGATTATATCCCGCACCTGGCTCGGAGGGTCGTACTCCCACGGAGTCGGAGTCTCGCTGATTGCTAGCACAGCAGTCTGAGATCAAACTGCAAGGCGGCAGCAAGGCTGGGGGAGGGGCACCCGCCATTGCCCAGGCTTGCTTAGGTAAACAAAGCAGCCAGGAAGCTCGAACTGGGTGGAGCCCACCACAGCTCAAGGAGGCCTGCCTGCCTCTGTAGGCTCCACCTCTGAGGGCAGGGCACAGACAAAGACAGCAGTAACCTCTGCAGACTTAAATGTCCCTGTCTGACAGCTTTGAAGAGAGCACTGGTTCTCCCAGCACGCAGCTGGAGATCTGAGAACGGGCAGACTGCCTCCTCAAGTGGGTCCCTGACCCCTGACCCCTGAGCAGCCTAACTGGGAGGCACCCCCCAGCAGGGGCAGACTGACACCTCACACGGCAGGGTACTCCAACAGACCTGCAGCTGAGGGTCCTGTCTGTTAGAAGGAAAACTGACAAACAGAAAGGACATCCACACCAAAAACCCTTCTGTACATCACCATCATCGAAGACCAAAAGTAGATAAAACCACAAAGATGGGAAAAAACAGAACAGAAAAACTGGAAACTCTAAAAAGCAGAGCGCCTCTCCTCTTCCAAAGGAACGCAGTTCCTCACCAGCAACGGAACAAAGCTGGATGGAGAATGACTTTGACGAGCTGAGAGAAGAAGGCTTCAGACGATCAAATTACTCTGAGCTACGGGAGGACATTCAAACTAAAGGCAAAGAAGTTGAAAACTTTGAAAAAAATTTAGAAGAATGTATAACTAGAATAACCAATACAGAGAAATGCTTAAAGGAGCTGATGGAGCTGAAAACCAAGGCTTGAGAACTACATGAAGAATGCAGAAGCCTCAGGAGGCAATGCAATCAACTGGAGAAAGGCTATCAGTGATGGAAGATGAAATGAATCAAATGAAGTGAGAAGGGAAGTTTAGAGAAAAAAGAATAAAAAGAGCAAAGCCTCCAAGAAATATGGGACTATGTGAAAAGACCAAATCTACATCTGATTGGTGTACCTGAAAGTGATGGTGAGAATGGAACCAAGTTGGAAAACACTCTGCAGGATATTATCCAGGAGAACTTCCCCAATCTAGCAAGGCAGGCCAAAATTCAGGTTCAGGAAATACAGAGAATGCCACAAAGATACTCCTCGAGAAGAGCAACTCCAAGAAACATAATTGTCAGATTCACCAAAGTTGAAATGAAGGAAAAAATGTTAAGGGCAGCCAGAGAGAAAGGTCAGGTTACCCTCAAAGGGAAGCCCATCAGACTAACAGCGGATCTCTTGGCAGAAACCCTACAAGCCAGAAGAGAGTGGGGGCCAATATTCAACATTCTAAAGAAAAGAATTTTCAACCCAGAATTTCATATCCAGCCAAACTAAGCTTCCTAAATGAAGGAGAAATAAAATACTTTACAGACAAGCAAATGCTGAGAGATTTTGTCACCACCAGGCCTGCCCTAAAAGAGCTCCTGAAGGAAGCACTAAACATGGAAAGGAACAACCGGTACCAGCCGCTGCAAAATCATGCCAAAATGTAAAGACCATTGAGACTAGGAAGAAACTGCATCAACTAACGAGCAAAATAACCAGCTGACATCATAATGACAGGATCAGATTCACACATAACAATATTAACTTTAAATGTAAATGGACTAAATGTTCCAATTAAAAGACACAGACTGGCAAATTGGATAAACAGTCAAGACCCATCAGTGTGCTGTATTCAGGAAACCCATCTCACGTGCAGAGACACACATAGGCTCAAAATAAAAGGATGGAGGAAAATATACCAAGCAAATGGAAAACAAAAAAAGGCAGGGGTTGCAATCCTAGTCTGATAAAACAGACTTTAAACCAACAAAGATCAAAAGAGACAAAGAAGGCCATTACATAATGGTAAAGGGATCAATTCAACAAGAAGAGCCAACTATCCTAAATATATATGCACCCAACAGAGGAGCACTCAGATTCATAAAGCAAGTCCTGAGTGACCTACAAAGAGACTTAGACTCCCACACATTAATAATGGGAGACTTTAACACCCCACTGTCAACATTAGACAGATCAACAAGACAGAAAGTCAACAAGGATACCCAGGAATTGAACTCAGCTCTGCACCAAGCAGACCTAATAGACATCTACAGAACTCTCCATCCCAAATCAACAGAATATACATTTTTTTCAGCACCACACCACACCTATTCCAAAATTGACCACATACTTGGAAGTAAAGCTCTCCTCAGCAAATGTAAAAGAACAGAAATTATAACAAACTATCTCTCAGACCACAGTGCAATCAAACTAGAACTAAGGATTAAGAATCTCACTCAAAACCACTCAACTACATGGAAACTGAACAACCTGCTCCTGAATGACTACTGGGTATATAACAAAATGAAGGCAGAAATAAAGATGTTCTTTGAAACCAATGAGAACAAAGACACAACATACCAGAATCTCTGGGACACATTCAAAGCAGTGTGTAGAGGGAAATTTATAGCACTAAATGCCCACAAGAGAAAGCAGGAAAGATCCAAAATTGACACCCTAACATCACAATTAAAAGAAGTAGAAAAGCAAGAGCAAACACATTCAAAAGCTAGCAGAAGGCAAGAAATAACTAAAATCAGAGCAGAACTGAAGGAAATAGACACACAAAAAACCCATCAAAAAATTAATGAATCCAGGAGCTGGTTTTTTGAAAGGATCAACAAAATAGACCGCTAGCAAGACTAATAAAAAAAGAGAGAAGAATCAAATAGAAGCAATAAAAAATGATAAAGGGGATATCACCACCTATCCCACAGAAATACAAACTACCATCAGAGAATACTACAAACACCTCTACGCAAATAAACTAGAAAATCTAGAAGAAATGGATAAATTCCTCGACACATACACTCTCCCAAGACTAAACCAGGAAGAAGTTGAATCTCTGAATAGACCAATAACAGGATTTGAAATTGTGGCAATAATCAATAGCTTACCAACCAAAAAGAGTCCAGGACCAGACGGATTCACAGCCGAATTCTGCCAGAGGTACAAGGAGGAACTGGTACCATTCCTTCTGAAACTATTCCAATCAATAGAAAAAGAAGGAATCCTCCCTAACTCATTTTATGAGGCCAGCATCATCCTGATACCAAAGCTGGGCAGAGACACAACCAAAAAAGAGAATTTTAGACCAATATCCTTGATGAACATTGATGCAAAAATCCTCAATAAAATACTGGCAAACCGAATCCAGCAGCACATCAAAAAGCTTATCCACCATGATCGAGTGGGCTTCATCCCTGGGATGCAAGGCTGGTTCAATATAAGCAAATCAATCAATGTAATCCAGCATATAAACAGAGCCAAAGACAAAAACCACATGATTATCTCAATAGATGCAGAAAAGGCCTTTGACAAAATTCAACAACCCTTCATGCTAAAAACTCTCAATAAATTAGGTATTGATGGGATGTATTTCAAAATCATAAGAGCTATCTATGACAAAGCCACAGCCAATATCATACTGAATGGGCATAAACTGGAAGCATTCCCTTTGAAAACTGGCACAAGACAGGATGCCCTCTCTCACCACTCCTATTCAACATAGTGTTGGAAGTTCTGGCCAGGGCAATTAGGCAGGAGAAGGAAATAAAGGGTATTCAATTAGGAAAAGAGGAAGTCAAATTGTCCCTGTTTGCAGATGACATGATTGTATATCTAGAAAACCCCATTGTCTCAGCCCAAAATCTCCTTAAGCTGATAAGCAACTTCAGCAAAATCTCAGGATACAAAATCAGTGTACAAAAATCATAAGCATTCTTATACACCAACAATAGACAGAGAGCCAAATCATGAGTGAACTCCCATTCACAATTGCTTCAAAGAGAATAAAATACCTAGGAATCCAACTTACAAGGGATGTGAAGGACATCTTCAAGGAGAACTACAAACCACTGCTCAAGGAAATAAAAGAGGATACAAACAAATGGAAGAACATTCTATGCTCATGGGTAGGAAGAATCAATATCATGAAAATGGCCATACTGCCCAAGGTAATTTACAGATTCAATGCCATCCCCATCAAGCTACCAATGCCTTTCTTCACAGAATTGGAAAAAACTACTTTAAAGTTCATATGGAACCAAAAAAGAGCCCACATCACCAAGTCAATCCTAAGCCAAAAGAACAAACCTCGAGGCATCACACTACCTGAATTCAAACTATACTACAAGGCTACAGTAACCAAAACAGCATGGTACTGGTACCAAAACAGAAATATAGATCAATGGAACAGAACAGAGCCCTCAGAAATAACGCCGCATATCTACAACTATCTGATCTTTGACAAACCTGAGAAAAGCAATGGGGAAAGGATTCCCTATTTAATAAATGGTGCTGGGAAAATTGGCTAGCAATATGTAGAAAGCTGAAACTGGATCCCTTCCTTACACCTTATACAAAAATCAATTCAAGATGGATTAAAGACTTAAACGTTAGACCTAAAACCATAAAAGCCCTAGAAGAAAACCTAGGCAGTACCATTCAGGACATAGGCATGGGCAAGGACTTCATGTCTAAAACACCAAAAGCAATGGCAGCAAAAGCCAAAATTGACAAATGGGATCTAATTAAACTAAAGAGCTTCTGCACAGCAAAAGAAACTACCATCAGACTGAACAGGCAACCTACAAAATGGGAGGAAATTTTCGCAACCTACTCATCTGACAAAGGGCTAATATCCAGAATCTACAATGAACTCAAACAAATTTACAAGAAAAAAACAACCCCATCAAAAAGTGGGTGAAGGATATGAACAGACACTTCTCAAAAGAAGATATTTATGCAGCCAAAAAACACATGAAAAATGCTCATCATCACCGGCCATCAGAGAAATGCAAATCAAAACCACAATGAGATACCATCTCACACCAGTTAGAATGGCAAACATTAAAAAGTCAGGAAACAACAGGTGCTGGAGAGGATGTGGAGAAATAGAAACATTTTTACACTGTTGGTGGGACTGTAAACTAGTTCAACCATTGTGGAAGTCAGTGTGGCGATTCCTCAGGGATCTAGAACTAGAAATACCATTTGACTCAGCCATCCCATTACTGGGTATATACCCAAAGGACTATAAATCATGCTGCTATAAGACCCATGCACACGTATGTTTATTGCGGCATTATTCACAATAGCAAAGACTTGGAACCAACCCAAATGTCCAACAATGATAGACTGGATTAAGAAAATGTGGCACATATACACCATGGAATACTATGCAGCCATAAAAAAGGATGAGTTCATGTCCTTTGTAGGGACATGGATGAAATTGGAAATCATCATTCTCAGTAAACTATCGCAAGAACAAAAAACCAAACACCGCATAATCTCACTCATAGGTGGGAATTGAACAATGAGATCACATGGACACAGGAAGGGGAACATCACACTCTGGGGACTGTTGTGGGGTGGGGGGAGGGATAGCATTGGGAGATATACCTAATGCTAGATGACGAGTTAGTGGGTGCAGCGCACCAGCATGGCACATGTATACGTATGTAACTAATCTGCACAATGTGCACATGTACCCTAAAACTTAAAGTATAATAATAAAAGAAAAACTTAAACAAAACAAAAAAAAAAACACACACACAAAAGAAAATGTGGCACATATACACCATGGAATACTCTGCAGCCTTAAAAAATGATGAGTTCTTGTCCTTTGTAGGGAGATGGATGAAGCTGGAAACCATCATTCTCAGCAAACTATTGCAAAACAAAAAACCAAACATCGCATGTTCTCACTTATAGGTGGGAATTGAACAATAAGAACACCTGGACACAGGAAGGGGGACATCACACACCAGGGCCTGTTGTGGGGTGGGGGGAGGAGGGAGGGATAGCATTAGGACATATACCTAATGTAAATGACGAGTTAATGGGTGTAGCACACCAACATGGCACATGTATACATATGTAACAAACCTGCACGTTGTGTACATGTACCCTAGAACTTAAAGTATAATTAAAAAAAATAAACTATTTAACAGAGGCTGCCGTATTACTGGGGTTTTACCACAGGCTAACCAATATGCTAGAAGGAAAATACCCAACTCCAGGTCCTTCTAACCTGTGTCACACCTATGTGGGGGTGGGCAGGGGATGTTAAGAAGCTCTTTGAAGGTTGCAGTCCAAGAACACATGCTGGCAAATAGATTCAGACCAATTTGTAGGACTATAGAATGATTTCTCTCCCTTCCACACTGACAAACACATTAAAATATCTCATGTATGATAACAGAGGATGCACATGGAAGGATGACAAGCCTCAAATCCTGTTTAACAATGAATCTGTAGAAAAGCCAAAGATAACAGAGGACACAAAAATAAGAACACTAGAGCAAATTATGGCCTCTGACATCAGAGGTAAAACTAGCGATAAACATAGCCTAACACATAAACATAAACTTCACACTAAACGCCTGTTTATCTTTACCTAACACATCATGTAAATTATGGTAAGAATTGTATCCCCACAGACTCATATATTGAAGTCATACCCCCAACTATCTCAGAATGTACCCTTATTTGGAAATAGGACCATTGCAGATGTAATTAGTTAATTGAAGATGAGAACATACTCTAGTAGAAAGTGTCCCTAATCCAATATGATTGAAGAAAAAGTAGTAACAACATATTTTAATGAGTCATATACTATTGAAACAGAGAAAACAGTCCAGCACGCACTGAACTCAATTTTGATGTATACAGAGTTGACGATCATTTTAAACTTGACGAAACTCTAGCCAGGGTCTTCTGAGCCTTCTCAATTCAGCCTTAACTTTGGTCTATAAAAACTTGAAAAAGACAGGAACATAGTTGGTAACAGTTCAAGTCTACATCTCTAGAACGAACGACCCAGTCTCCCTTAAAGTGAACTGTCTGAGAAAACTGAAACCTGCCTGTCTTCATGGTTCCTATAACAAAAATACCATGGCCTTACACAACACTTATTTCTCACATTTCCACAGATTGGAAAGTCCACAATAAAGGTGCCAGCCAGTTTGGTCTGTAAGGACCCATTTTCTGATTTATAGAGCATGGTCTTCTTGCTGTGCCCTCACATGGCAGAAGAGGCAAGAAAGCTCTCTGGAGTCTCTTTTATGAGGTCACTAAGGCCATTCATGAGTTCATCACTCATGATCTAATCAACCCCCAAAGACTTCCTCTCCCAATATCATCACATTGGGGTTTAAGATTTCAACATATAACTTATGTAAGTACACAGACAATCTATAGCATGCTTGTCCCAGCCAAGACTTGAAGATAGGCCTGGTGTCTCCTGACCTCTGTGGGAGGGTAGAAGCCCAACATCAGCAAGTATCAGTTAACAAAGCAAATGGGTTTCACAGGAACCAACTCCCCCCTTCTCACGATTTGTAATTTCTCACATCCCTGACCCTCCTGAGCCCCCACTAACTCCCATTTCTCTTTCCTCAAACTCCCTTTAACATTTTCCTCAACCTGGATACATCAAAGTTAAGTTCATGCTGAACTCTTGCCTGTTTCAATAGTATATGACTAGTTAAAGCACGTTCTTACCTCTTTAACCAGTTTTCCATTTTGTTTGTCTTGACAGTTATCTGGCACTGGAACTCAAATCCAGATTGGAACCCTTATCTGGCCCTTGGACAAAACAGTCAATCCTTTCTGCATGCGTAGAAACCTTTGTCTGATCTTCAGTTGACTTACTTTTTTGGGTATTTGGTGGCGAGTTCAACTTCTGGCCTAACACTGTGTAGAAATTTGCACTGAGGCATGGCGAGGACATATTTTCTTCCTATGTTTCTGGCTGTAGTCTCTAAGGCTGGGTTATAATTCCAGGCTGCTTTTGAAAGACATCTCCTGGGCTGGCTGTTTATCTTCCTGGCTCCCTGTTTTCAGTGGGAATTCACTTCCTAACTCCTGTGCTGGAATGTTCACTCTGGCTTCTTGTGAGACCTCTTCATTCTATTTGAACTTACTCTTCCCACAGGAACTCCACAGTTAAACCCCTTTTGGGTTCCTACTCTCTATATATACTATGACACTAACCATGTCTGCTTCTATTTTAGGCAAAATGACTTTACTGTGGATAATTCGGAACTGCAATGGTTTATTTGAAAATCTTAAGATCTGCCTAAAGTGGCTCTTATAGGACTGCTCCCTTCCCATTTCCTTCTTTTTTCCTTCTTTCTTTTACCATCTTAACTTTTTCCATTGAACTCCCCTGACACTTTGATATGCACCTCTTTTCCATTAAACACCCCTGACTTTTGATATATACCCATCCTTTTACCCCTACCAGATGTTTCACTTACCTCTTTAGCCCCTCGACTCCCTATAGTCACTGGAACGTATGCCTCCTGATTCACAGGGGGTTCTCGAGAGACTGATGCACACACAAAGCAACACACGGGGCTTCCTGGAAACAGAGATATAATCTACAGCCTGTGTAAGATTACATTTTAGGTGAAAAACCCACAAATACCCCAAAATATGTTACTAATTAAAATCTGTCCTCACTACCTTAACCAGTGTCTGGGCTTTACCTTTGAAACTGGTGTCCTTATTTAAAAAAAGTTGGACATGCACCCAGGAATATTATCTTTTGAAGATAAAGGAATAGATTGAAGTAATGCTACTTCAAGCCAAGGAATGCCAAAGGTTGTCATCAAACTACCAGAATGCTATGGTACGCATAGCAAATGAATACATCAGCTTTCAACAACATCATCAAAAATTACAAGTCATGGTAGCAGGCAAAAAATATGCTTTAAAAAGAAAAACAAAATTAGAAAAGGACTTGGACATGGCAAGCCAATCATGTGATTTCTTGATGTTTCTTCTGTGTTTTCTGCCTAGAAAAACCCACTGCACTCACTGCTGGGTGGATCTATCTGAACCTCTTATGGCTCTGAGTGCCATCTGAAAAAGATGATGGTTCCCTTTACCTTGAGTCGTTTTCCCCAGATACACTAGAACCCATTATTTCAGTTCTTTTAGGTCTCTTCTGTGCTATTCGATTATCAGAAAAGATTTCAATGACCAATGAATAAAAATGACTGATCTGTCCCTTATGCTGTCTTATTTTTCTTCATAAAATTAACAATCTTGAACATATTTTTTACAATTGTTTCTCTTTTCCACAATATAGTGTCATATTAATAAGATGAGACATTTTGCTCATTTTTATCACTGCTGTGTGCTGAAAGCCTAACACAGTGGTAGCCCCAAAGTAGATGCTCAAAAATAAATATGCTCTGAATGAGTATATTTAGTCATTTCCTGGAAGGAGAGGCTGGGTCAAACAGAGTGCTAAGGACTCAGAATCCTTACTGCTAGAATGACAATGAAATGACAGCATCATGTTAGTGGCACATTTAAAATGAAACAATATCAATATTGAAAATATTTGTAAGGCTTATTTGAAAAAAGAAAATCATAACACATTTACCTATAATTCAGAAATTTAAATTTCTAGATAATTTCTAAGATTAAGGTTTTTTAATTTCTTAAACTTTTAGATAACCATTTTAAAGAATATATATTGTATATATCTCTGTTATTAAAAAGTAATTGAAAGTAATTACTTCATATTATATTAAGGCATTATAGCTATAAATATGGTGTAAACTGTAATGGTTATTCTGCCCTTTCTTCTCTTGCTACCTCCTGCCATCCTAAGAGAAGTTGCCTTAAGCAGAATTGTCTCATCCCGATCCCCAGAATCACTCTATCCACTCACACATTATCTTTCCCAAGCTTGAGGAAAAAATAACAGAGTGAGAGACGAAGATTATGTATTATTATTGCGACTCTTGGTGTTTGCAAAATTCCAAAATACTGAGATATGGCTAAATAAAATTCTATGCAACTTCTTTTGAATGCATGAATGTATATATTTATGTAAGTTTTATTTTGTTTACATTTTGTTTTGGTAATTAGAGTTTTATTTCCCTTGGTGACAGAACTTTCTGTTGTCTTTCAGATGAGTATATTTTTGATTTTGATTTAAATATAATTTCCCAAAATAAACATTTTTGACTTATACCTATTTTATGTTTTTTATGATGTCAAGTCCATGGCATTTGTTCAGGGCGAGACTTTAATGACTGAACTTCATGATTATCTTTCTACTTGCCAAACACTTCATTTATCTTTCCCATTATTCAAGAGCTGCTATATCCTTGAGTTTGATATTCTTTATCTGGAATTCAATGCAAAGCTCTGCTAAGTGGTCATGATGATCCAAGAGTGGATGTTAGAATTCTAGGATGCCACAGGTCTTTCTCTTTCCATAAATCTTAAAGTCTGTAGGTTTATGAAAGACAGTTTTGTCACAGCCAGTTAGATTCATGGGTTAGCATTGTGGTGTAAGGAGGTGAATATAATGAATGAACTCAGCAATGAACAGGTTTTCTGATGCCAGAAGAAGTTTTCCCTGCGTGTTCTATAGGTCTTGTGCCGTGTATCAAGTATTTCTTCTCTTGATCTACTGTGCAATGGGTATAAGGTTTCAGTGACACAAGATGAAGTCCTAGAGATTGGCTGTGCAGCACCGTGCCTGGAGTTCACAGTACTGAATCGTGCACTGAAAAAGTGTAAGAGGGTAAATTTCCTGTTAAGTGCTCTCACCACACTAAATAAATAAAATTTATCATGAGCCAGGCACTGAACTAAGCTCAGGATATATTATGATGAACAAATTTAGACATGACAAACGATCTCAATAAAACTTAAAATGTTTTGCTACAATAATCACCTGAAAAAAAAGTCAGTCTTCTCTACAGTATAATGTGGATGGACACAAATGAGTGGTTTTAAGATTATGTTTCCTTCCCTTGTTTTTAAAAAACATTTATAATAAGTAAAATTCTTCAACAAGAGCAAAATCATATCAGTTTCTAGTATCAGTGTTTGCCAAAGACTGCTCTTTAAAATAAAGGGATCACCTCAGTCCAATCTACTTGACATGATCCTACCTTGTCAGACAAGCTAGTCAAGATTTGGAAAAGGCAACTACATTTCAATCCTTTGAAAATCTACATAATCCTAAGCACAGACTTATCAGGATTGGTAATGGGTCAAGTTTAGGGACACGTTACAATTACAATGTAATTTTTGGCTGTAGTTGATCAGCAAGTTTACATCCATATATTCATCCAAGTTGCTCTTCCTCAAAAAAATTAATATGTTGACATTTCTACCTGCAAGATTTGTGATTCATGTTTTAATTATTACAATTTTCATATAACATGTTTTAGAATACCTGATATTGTGGGTGATCTCAATTTCTTCCTGGGTGATCTTTCCTGGTTTAATATTTGTATGATTCCAATGATAAATCTCAGATAATATAAATAGCAAAAAATTAAAATACTGAGAAAATAATATACAACTTATTAGGGGAGAAAGAGGAAGAGATGCTCCCTTAGTGGCACACAGAAGGTGGGATGCCTGGTCTGCTTTTTCTATATTTTTGCATATTTGGGGTTCAGAAAACTGAAACCCATAGAGTCACCATATGCTACATACACTGAACCTAAAGTAATAAGTAGTTCTGAAAGAGAACAGAGGAGAAGAGGGACTCCCTACAGGGATAAATGGTCCAGACTTAAGGTATGGCTTATTTATGCTTTCAACACCCCAGGGACTACAATCCCAGCTGACCAATTAAACTTCGAGAGTTTCAGTGGAGATTTAAGGTCCTGGGATTACTTCTGGAAAAAAATTAAAAAGCTTACCGTGCAATTGGCCCAATACTCAAACCAAAATCTAATGGACAGAAAATATACAATTTACAAACTTGTGCTTTTTTTAAATGTTAATTAAAAATATGTTTATTAAACCCACAGATTTTTTTAGTTGGAAATTTTAAAATTAAATTTGATTAATGAAAAAATAAAATATAAGGAAAAATGACATTTGGAAGCAAAATGAAGAATTTCAGAAGAAAGAAAACATTCAACTAAATGATCTTTTGAACATATTGAATTCAGTTTGCTAGTGTTGAGAATCTTTACATCCATGATCATAAAATAAATTGGCCTGTAATTTTCTTATACCGTCCTTGTCTGACATTGGTGTTAGGGTAATGCATGAAAAAATGTGTTGGAAAGTGCACCCTTTTTAATTGTTTGGAAAAGTTTGAGAATAGCATTAATCTGTCTTTAGATATTTGGTAGCAATCACCAGTAAAAGCATCAAGTCCTGAACTTTTAAGTTTATTATTATTATTATTGGTGATTTAATCTCTGTACTAGTTATTAATTTGTTCAGGTTTATTCTTTCTTCAGGACATACATGTCTAAGAATTTATCCATTTCTTCTACGTTACTCAATTTATTGACATAATTGGTCATGATAATCTCTTATGACCCTTTGTATTTTGGTAGTATTGACTAATTTCTCCTGCTTTACTTATAGTTTTATTTGAGTCATCTCTCTTAGTTTTCTTGGTTTGTCTACCTAAAGGTTTGCCAATTTTCCTCACGTTTTTACAGAACCAACTCCTCGTGTTACTGATCTTTTCTTTTGTCTTTCTTATCTGTTTAATTCTGCTCTAACCTTTATAACTTTCTTCTTTCTTCTAACTTTTGGCTTTTTTCTTCTTTTCTAATTCCCAGAGTGCCAAGTTAGGTTGCTTATTTGGGATCATTTCTCTCTCTGTCTCAGTAGCTATCAGAACTACTTTTGCTGTACCCCATGATTTGGTATGTTATTTGTCCATTTTTGTTTGTCTCAGGATATTTTTAAATTGTCTTTATTTTTGGGTCCATTTGTTGTTTATGAGTGTTGAGAGTGGGGTATTATAATCCCCTACTATTATCATATTGCTGTTTATTTCTTTTTTGTGTTCTGCTCATGTCTGCTCCATCCATTTTGGTGTTCCAATGTTTCCTGGGCCTATATTGAGGCACCCTAACTAATAACACTTTGCACATCAATTCATCTCATTTCTCACAAAAGCAAACAGAACAAAACTGTTCAAACATACATAAGGGAGTCCTAGTTGCTGATACAAACTTTTAGATAGTCTTCCAATCTTTTTATCCTACTTTAATTCTCCAATGATATAATAAACATCCAAGACAAAAAAAATGAAAAAAGCACAAATGATTCCTTCACTGAAATCAGGAGACAAAGGCAATCCATCAACTATAAATTACACGTAAGGAAGGGGAAGAAAGTCACGGACACTCATCAGAATTGGTACAGAAACTCCATATTGGAAGCAGGAAGTCCGGCAGAGAAGAGACCCAGTCAAGGTCACTGGTGGTGGTAATGATAAAAAATACCAGGAAATATTATTCCCCAAGAAGGAGAGGGTCCTCTCACAAGTGTAAACTGCTATACCCAAGCCTGATGAACACGGAGCCAGGTAGCAATCTGAGGATTATTGAAGAGATAGATGCAGGGAGTATACCTGGGAAAGAAGTGGTGGAGATAACAGGACAATCTTGCCTAAACTAAGGGGGTCACCATCCCAGGCATAACCACGAATAGGAAGGTGGTAGAAATGAACATGGAGAAGACAGCAGGAATGCATACAATGAAGCTGTAGGGCTTGAGAAACAAGAATATTCCCCAATGCCTGCAAGCCCTATGCAATCCACCTGGTAACAACTGGAAAGGCAAATCAAATTCTGAAAAATGAAATTAGAAAATGCAACGTCTTTCCAAAAATACTATAGAAAAAAAATAAATCTACCCCAAAATTATTGCCTTAAATCGGAGCTAAATACTGATATAAACTTCAAATACTCTACAACCCCAAATCCTTAATAAAGCAGTTTTATAAATGAGAAAACATTTTAAAACAGAAATATGACGGTTCAGAGAACTGATGACCCACTAAAAAGAGACGACAATCGGCCAACAGAAAGATGTGAAATGGGAATCACCCTGAGTCAGGAGAGAATTTAAAGGGAGTGATGGGGACGAAGCTGAATGGCTGCTCCGTGGCTTGTGAGTGATTGTAAAATAATAAAGATGATGGAGAAAATATAAAAGCAAGTGTAAAGAAATAGTGATAAGCACTAGTGTAAACATATTGGCTACAATTGAATGATGAAGGAAAGGAGAATAGACATATCTTCTGAAATATTTTCTGTTCTTCCTTATGCTAGGAAACTAGTAGATACTGTGTAAAGAGAGGGAAATTAAGGATATTTTAGTCTTATAAAATATGTTTTATGCATAGGTATTTGTACATAATATACACATTTTGTTAAATAGAAAATATTAAATACCACACAATGAAATAATTTTGAAATAAAGGCAAAGAGTTGATTTTGTCTTCTTACTGCAAAGAATTATAAGTATGTGAGGTGATGCATATGTTAATTACCTCAATTTACCCATTCCACACAATATACATATTTTAAAATATCACATTGTACATGATAAATATATACAATTTTATTTGTTCATCACAAAAATTTAAAAATGGCAATTAAAATAAAGGTAATAACAAAGTGTGAGGGAATATGATTAAACTAATGGGGTATATCAATAAACACAATGCATTTAATACACTGAATAAAGAAAAAAAGATTACTATTCTCTCTGCCTGGTGGTCTCTTTTCCGATACGTTGTGACCCATTTCTTCAACTGATTTAGGTCTCTCTTCTCTGCTCTCTTGATTATCAGAGAAGACATCTCTGAGCAGTGAATATAAAACAGTAATTATCTCCTACACACCCTATTTTACTCTTCTTTATAATGTTTATCATTCCTGATAGTTTTTTTGCGATTATTATCTCTTCTCTACCATAGAATGTAAGATCCAGGAGATAAAGCATTTTACCATTTTTATCACTAGTGTCTTTCCAATGCCTAAAATATAGCACCTATTCCAAAACAGACGCTCAAAAATAAGTGTTTCTTGAGTCAATGCATTTATTCATTTTTGAGGAGGAGAGATTGGGTTAAACAAGAGGGTTAAAAACTCAGAATAGAATGACAACCAAACGAGAGCATAGTCAGTATTAATACAGAAAATATTTACAAGACCTACTTGAAAGAAGATATAGTTGTAACACATTTTCCATGATTGTTCAGAAATTTATATTTCTGGGTACATTAACTTCTTAGGCAACTAGAGCTTACTTGTTTAATTCTTTAAGCTTAATAAATTTTAAAGTATGGAGTACAATATGCCAAGTGAAACAAGTCAGGCACAGAAAGAAAAATGCAGCATGAGCTCATTTATGTGTAAAATAAATGGAAATTGAGTAAGATAAATAGGGAGTTGAAGGGCAGTTGCCAGAGTCAGGGAAGTAGACAAATTGGGATAATGTAGGTAAAAGAAGACAAAATTACAGTTATGTAACATAAAGATATTTAGAGATCTAATGTACAACAGAAGGACTATAGTTCTATTTTATTATACATTACAAATTTGCTAAGAGAATAACTAGATTATATGTGTTTTTATCACAAAAAAGTAAACTGCAGACAGTGATGGATGTGTTAATTTGCTAGCATGTGGTAATTATTTCACTATAGATATCTACATCAAAACATGTTGTACATCTTGAGTTTATACAATAAAAAAAAATACTCGATTTAATGACCAATCTGGACTTATTTATTTTAATGTTTATTTAAAATATTTCATGCTGTCTGTGGCCTGGTATTTGGGAGAAAGGGGGATAAAATACTTCAATCAATCATGTCAACACAATTTTTGATGAGAAATTGAAAACTGAATTGTTCAAATTGTTCCAGTTCTCAAGAGGAATGCTTCCAGATTTTACTTGTTTAGTATGATGGTGGCTGTGGGTGTGTCATAGATGGCTCTTATTTTTTTGAGATAAGTTCATTTGGTGCCCAGTATATTGAGGGTTTTTAACAAGAAAGGATGCTGAATGTTATGAAAAATCATTTTGCTTCTATTGAGATGATCATGTGGTTTTTGTATTTAATTATGTTTATGTGGTGAATCACATTTACTGATTTGCACTTGTTGAACCAACCTTGCATCCCAGAAATAAAGCCTACTTGATCGTGGTGAATTCACTTTTTGATGTGCTGCTGGATTTGGTTTGCTGGTATTTCGTGGAGGATTGTGTGTCTATATTCCTCAGGAATGTTGGCCCGAACTTTACTTTTTTTTGTCGTATTTGTGCCTAATTTTGGTATCAGAATGATGCTGGCTTCACAGAATGACTTAGAGAGTATTCCCTTCTCAATTTTTAAAATAATTTCAGAAGATTTTGTACCAACTCTTATTTATATGTCTGGTAGGAGTTGGTTGTTAATCCATCTGGTCCAGGGCTTGTTTTGGTTGGTAGGTTTTTTTTAATCACTGACTTAATTTCAGAACCCATTATTGGTCTGTTCAGGATTTCAATTTCTTCCTGGCTTAATGTCAGGAGGTTAAATAATCTTGGGTGGAGAAATAGATAAATTCCTTGTTTCGAGGGATTTATATATTTCTTCTAGGTTTTCTAGTTTGTCTGCAGAGAGGTGTTCATAATAGTCCCTTAGGGTTTTTTGTACTTCTATGTAGTTGGTTGTATTTCAACTTTGTCATTCCTGAATTTATTAAGCATATGAAAATAATAAACTATAAAGGAATAAAGAAAATAGATTTAGAAGAAAAGAAAGTGTTCAAGGAAATTAAAAAGCATATTGAATCATAATTTTATACTTTAAATTGTTTTATCTGTGAATATAACATTTTATCATATACTATACATGAAGATAAACAGATACTTCGTGCAGTTGGTAACCGAAAGATAGCCAGAGTGGCTATGTTAATGTGAGACAAAGTGAGTTTATGACAAAAATTTTTATAAGTAAAAAAAAAATCGTATACTGTTTGGGATCATTTGTGTATCTTCCTTGGAGAATGTAATATAGATCTTTAGATATAAAAATTGTAAACATGAATGAATGTAACAGAGACCCAAAATATATGAAGCCAAGGTGGACAGAATTAAAGGAAGAAATAAACAGTTCTGTACTTATAGTTCAATACTTAAATGTCCATTTTCAATAATGCATAGTGCACTTAGACAGAATGTTAATATAGTAGTAAGTGACTAGAACAGCACTATAAACCAAATGACCTAATATATATGTGGAGAATACTGAAATAGCAGAGTATAGATGCTTCTCAAGTACTAATAACACATTCTCCAGGATAAATTGCCAAAAACAAATAAGACTAAATTTTAAAAGATTTAATTCAAAGTATCTTTTCCAATCAATGAAATAAAACTGGAAATCTGAAATAGAGGGAGAACTACAAAAGTTACACATATGTGGGGATTAAACACCACACTGTGAAGCACCGGTGGGTCAAAAAAGAAATTGGAAATGAAGTTAGAAAATATATTCAGATGACTTAAAACATAACAAAACATATAGGATGCAGCTAAAGCAACTCTTAGAAGGAAAATTTTAGCTAGATTGCCTATACTCAAAAAAAGAAGAAACATCTAAAAACAATAATATATTTTTACACCTTAAGGAACTAGAAAAAGAAGAGCAGACTCAATACAAAGCAAACAGAAGGAAAAAAAAGTATTGGAATAGAGATTAATAAAATGCAGAATAGAAAAAACAATTTGACTATTTCGAGCTTTCAAAAGATCAACAAAATATAGAAAACTTTAGGTAAACTTACCAAAGAGAGAAAGAGAGAAGTCTTACATCATGAATACATAAATATGAATATAACATGGGTACATAACAACTAGCCTTTCAGAAACACAAGCAATTATAAGAGAATATTACAAATAATTGAATACTAACTAGATACCTTCAGTGAGATGAAAACCAAATCCTGGAAACACAGAAACTACCAACACTTACTCAAGAAGAAACTTAAAGTAGTGTTAAACAACTAACACACTGAAAATTACAAAGTACTGCTAATAGCAAATAAAACATAAACCGATGAAACAACATCGCATGTTAATGGATTGGGAGACTTGTGGTTAAGATAATACAACCAAAATATATCCACAGGTTCAATACAATGCCTATAAAAATTCCATGGCTTTTTTTTTTTGCAAGAGTAGAAAACACTAAAAATCATATGAAATTACGAGCGACTGCAAAATCCAAAACAACCTTGAATAGAAAAACAAAGTTGGAAGATTTACACTTCCTGAGTACAAAATTTGCCAAAAAGATACACTAATTTTAAAAGCCTGATAACAGAATAAGGATATATGCATAAATAAATAGAAGACAATTGAGAATCTAATGAGAAATACACGCATGTGTCTATGGTCAATAATCATCTGACAAGCATGCCACGTCCATTCAATGGGAAAAGAATACTCACTTTAACAAATTGTGCTCAGACAAGAAGATATCCACAAACAAAAGAATGAAGTGGCATTACAAATCATACTTAAACTCAAATTGATCAGGGACCTAAACATAAGAAGTAAAATTATAAAAATATGAGAAAAGATAAGGTTAAATATTCAAGACCTTAAGTTTAGCATTTTTTTTAGCATGATACCGAAAGAACGAGCAATAAGAAAATAAATAATTGGACCTCATCTAACTTCAAAATTTTTGTGCTTCAAAGGTCTCAATCAAAAAAGTGAAAAGAGAGGAGAGTGGGAAAGCTGGCAGAACGGAATTCTTTAACAATTGTATCCCCATAGAAACATCAATTTTAATAACTATTCTTACACAACATACCTTCACAAAAGCTAGTAAAGGCATGTGAGAGATCATAGAACCTGGTGATACAATTTTCATCTTGTTATAAAATAATAAGATTAGAAGCATTGAAGAGGGCAGGAAGGAGAGTTTTGATTACCTGCATTTTTTATCCCCAACCTCAGACAGCACAGTGCAGGGAGAAATACCAAACACTTGGAGAATAAAAACGGAAGTAAGTGTGGGACTTGGTCTTGGTGCCCAACACTAGGCCCACCACAGAAGAACTGAAAACCAGGCAGCCCCCACAACCACTGACTCCAGGCCAGTACACAAAGACCGAGCCTCCAGATCTACACCAACACTAGGCAGAAACCTGCAGCCCATGCAAAGCAGAATTAATTTGCAGTCATCATCACTGCCACCCACCCAGAGTGGCCTTAAGCTCTGGAAAGTATCCACTGGCAGGCAGGCCTCAGTGAACATGGGCTTCAGACTTGCATCAGTGCTGCACCAGCCCCAGTGGCCACAGGATATCATCTGGGACCCACACCAGTTCCAGTGGCCATGGGATTACAGCACTGCACTGCACCAGTCGTGGCAGTCCCAGGCTTAGGGCACCACCTAGGGCTGCCCCCACCACAGCAAACTAGAGCTTAGGGACCACACCAGACAACCTGCTCAGAATCTCTAGACAGGCTTACTATTGAAGAATGTTTCAGGATAAAACAAGTCTGCAAAGACTGGAATAAGTACCTATTATATTAGATGCATGACTGCAGACGCAAGAGAAATCAAGGAAGCATACATCACCAAGCAAACAAATGGAGATGCATAAACTACCTGACAAAGCATTTGAAATAACAGTCTTAGGGAAGCTCAGCAAACTTCAAGAAAATACACAGAAACTATTCAAACAAACGATAAAAATAATATGACCACAATGATAAACTTAGCAAATATTGGAATAACTTAAAAATCAAACAAATTCTAAAGCTGCAAAATATAATGAACAAAATGTAAACTGCAGTTGAGACCATCAACAGCAGAATGGATCAAGCCAATGAATCTGTGAACTCAAATACAGGTTATATGAAAATAGAGAAGAGAAAAGAATGAAAAATAATAAAGGAAACATGAGATTTACTGGACAGCAACAAAACAGCAAATTTTTGAGTCATTGGAGATAAGGGAGTTGAAATGATAAAGGAGTAGAAAGCTTATATGAAGAAATAATAGAAAACTTTTCAAACCTGGAAAAAGATATAAATAACCAGGTACAGTGAGGTAAAAAGTAACCAATCAGATTCAATCCAAACAAAACTACCCCTAAGACATATTATAATCAAACCACCAAAAATTGAAGGGAAGCTTCTCTGTATTGGTGGAAGGTAGGTAGGGCTTTTCTAGCCCCTACTTCCACTCTATCCCCTGAGTTCCACCTGCACTGACTCAAGGAAGAGTAAGCATCTAGAGCTAGTGAGAATGGGAGGAACTTACAAAGTCAAGAGAGAAGCCTATTGTTCCTTGCTCACCCACAGATTACGTACTATTACTCAAGGCTTGCTGTATTTATTATAGAAGAGAAAATCTTCTTGTATTATATATCAGCTGAGTTATTGCTTATCTGAGAATCACCAGAAGTTTCCACCCGAGACAGGATAAGAGAATAGAACCAACATGTTGGGATTTCCAGAGCAATCAAGAGAAAAGAAAATCTATTGTGTTATTATTGCCCCTGAGAAATCACACTTTTGTCTTTCCTAGGAAGCTGATGCTTACAACAATGGAGATTAGCAATACCTGGACAGAGTTGAGCTTCAAAGGATACTGAGAAATAGCTAAAGCAGGTAAAAAGAGAGAAGACTGGAACTTTGTCTATGCTTATCATCTAGCTTCAAGGAGAAACACAGTTGAGTTCAGCCATTTTGAAACAATGGTTAGAAACTAGATAAAAAGTTCTTAAGCTTTTCATTATTTATTTATTTATTTATTTATTTTTGAGACAGAGTCTTGCTCTGTGTCCCAGGCTGCAGTGCAGTGGTGAGATCTCTGCTCACTGCAACCTCCGCCTCCCGGGCTCAAGTGATTCTCCCACATCAGCCTCCCAAGTAGCTGGGGTTGCAGGTACCTACCACCGTGCCTGGCTAAGTTTTCTATTTTTAGTAGAGAAAGGGCTTCATGATGTTGGCCAGGCTGGTTTCAAACTCCTGACCTTAAATGATCTGCCAGCCTAGACCTCTCAAAGTGCTGGGATTACAGGCATGAGCCCCCGCACCCAGCCCTTAAGCTTTTTATGAGCAAATTAATATTTCAAATTAAATTGAACCAAATGGTTTTCTCATACGATGGAGCAACATTCCTCATGCTGGAAAATGAGATGCTCCTGAAGTCTTTGCATCTTGGTCCTCTACCGTTGTTTTCCACATTGATATTTATGTGTTCTGTTTAGAGACTTGATGTGTTCCCAGAACTTTCTGAAGAGCCCCACCACATCCTTGTTTCTCAGGATGTAGATGAGGGGGTTTAGCATGGGGGTGAGTACAGTGCAAAATACAGACACAGCTTGTTTCTGCTCAGGGATGTGGGAGAAACCCTGTGTCACGTATATTAAACACACAGTTCCTAAGTAAAGACCACGGAAAGATGGGAGGAGCAGTTGGCCAAAGCTTTGTTCCTACTTTAGGGGGATTTCATATGGAGGACTGTAAGGAAGATGAGGTATGAGAGGCCACAAGTCCAAGATGAAATGGATAAGAAGTAGAGAGCCACAGGCCAAGATCAAATGGGTAAAAAGTAGAGAGCCTGCATTTGAACCAGGTAGTCTGACTCAGGGTCCACACATCATCTCAATCATGGATGACTACCACAGACAGCTTGTTCCTTTCTCATCCCCATATTCTGGCTTCTCTCTTGCCATGTACACCTCCCCTTAGTCTCCATACCTGGGGCCACCTGCCCCCACAATCCTGTTCCCATAATATCTCACCTTGAATGAAGAGCTAAGCCAGGAAGGAAGCATCTGAAATAGTGTTGAAGAAAAGCTGAAGTGAGTGGAGAAGGACATCACTTTGTGTCCTTTACTTTCTGTTGGCCAATGCCTGTCTCCCGGTCTAGACCCTACCACCTACAGGTGAGGCCTCAAGCACAGCTCATCTCTGGACTGTCTCCATGTAGAACCAATGTCCCTGCTCAGATTAGATATATGAAATCCCCTAGTTGTAGATGTGGGGGCCTATGGAAATGAACCTCTCATAAACTGCTGAAGGGTACAAATTAACACAGCTTGAGAGAAGTGGCCTGGAGTGAGCTTCACTTCACACTAGGCCAGGACCACATTATTACTCCCAACAAAATAGTTTGTTTATAATCCTTTTCGTGGACTCCAGAAGAGGAAGATGGCAGATAGGAGGCAGGACTAACGTGCAGCTCCCACTTGGATGGACAGAGCAGCATGTGGAGATTCACGCTGTGAACTTTTGCTCCAAGAACTACCATAGGACATACCAGGAAAGCCAAGAGAATCCAAAGACCCTTTGAAGGAGGTGGCGGCCACTGTAGGCTCCGTGCCAAAAACTGAGTGCCAAAATGTGTGAAAGTGTAAAAGGGGGATGCTCCACCCCCAAACACAGATCCTCACTGGGGAACCTGACGGTCCACATGGTGGGAAAAGGATTTAATCTTACGCGGAGCTAAGAGGAATTTAGAGAGCCAAGCAAAATATTCGAGTAGAGGAAACAACAAGAAGAGCCCTGTGGGAAACCATTTCGGACTTTGTCTTGCAGGGGTCCTTTGGGAGGGCTGCCAGTGGAATTGGGGAAAGACTACAAGGAGAAGCAAGCTTTCAGATGAATTTTGTAATAATCTTGACTAACGTGAAGCTTCCTGGACAGAACCTGGGGGAGGGGGCAAACTGGGAGTGCAGATACAAGCTCAGAAGCTGAGGCAGGCAGAGAGGCATGAAACCTAAAAGCCCTGCTTGCTTTCTTCATGAGGGGCTTGTAGCCTGGGGCAAGTTCTCAGCCCTGCTCACCAGCTGCCTGGAAAAAACTCAGTGCTACTGGGGGCACAAGGTGGGAGTGAGACTGGCCTTTTGGGCTGCCTGGGAGCTGAGTGAAGCATGTAACTGCCCGTTCCCCCCCTTCTCTGGTGACCTGCATGACCCAGCAGAGGCACTCATAATCCCCGTGGAAACATAACTCCATCAGTCTGAGGACCACACCCCAATCCCACACAGCAGCCACACAGCAAGCCCCGCCCAAGGAGAGTCTCAGCTCAGACACGCCTAACACTGCCCCCACCTCTTGGCCTTTCTCTACCCACCCTGGGAGCCAAAGACAAAGGACATAATCTCATGGGAGCTCTGAGGCCCGGCCCATTGCCTGAGAAATCTGGATACTTATCCAGGTAACCCTAAGGCAAGCTCGTATCTTCCCTACACTACTGCAGCTGATGCAACTCTTGAAAGAATCAACTGCTGGCTGGAGACCAACCAGCAAACTTATCAAAAATACAGCCAAGGACCCTCACAGAGTCCACTTCACTCCCCTGCTCCCTCCACCACAGCATGTGCTGGTATCCATGGCTGAGAGACCTGAAGACAGATCATACCACAAGACTCTTTGCAGACACTCTCCGGTACCAGCCAGTACCAGAGCACAGTAGCTTCGCTGGGTGGTTAGATGTGGAAGAGAAATAACAATCTCTGCACTTTGTTTCTCAGGAACCCCCATCCCTAGAAGAAGGGGTAGAGCACCACATCAAGGGAGCACCCCATGGGACAAAAGAATCTCAACAGCAGCCCTTTAGCCCCAGAACTTCCCTCTCACATAGTCTACCCAAATGAGAAAAATCCAGGAAAACCATTCTGAAAATATGACAAAACAAGATTTTCTGACACCCCCAAAAGATCACACTAGCTCACCAGCAATGGATTCAAACAAAGGAGAAATTTCTGAATTGCCAGAAAAAGAATTAAGAAGGTCAATTATTAAGCTACTCAACAAAGTACCAGAGAAAGGTGAATACCAACTTAAATTTAAAAATGTGTTACAGGACATGAATGGAAAAATCTCCGGAGAAACAGATAGCATAAATAAAAAACAATCACAACTGCTGGAAATCAAGAACACACTAGAAAAATGCAAAATACACTGGAAAATCTCAGAAATAGAATCAAACAAGTAGAAGAAACAAGTTCAGAGCTTGAAGACAAGGCTATTGAACTAACCGAATCCAGCAAAGACAATTAAAAAACACACCTTTAACTGTGTTTTCTTATACTTCGGGCTTTTTGTAGGTTAATGACTTTTCTTAATTCCTAAGTACCATCTGAGTAATTAGTCACATGGTTATAAAGAATATCAAATGTCAGACTAAATTCTTTTCAAGCTTCCCTCAGCAGCTTAAAGTTGAAACCTTTTCATTCCTTCTTCTATAATCTTGGGTATTTGAAATGGGTATTCTCCCACTTGAACATAGGCAAAATCTAATTTCTTGTCTCTACCCTATGGAATCTCATTTAGTAATTATTTCTAAACTTATCCTGATGCCATGCATCATTGGTTTGTTATAAATATATCTAAAGGAGTACACAACATTTACTAAAGAAACACATTCCCCGTGTGATGTGTCCTGATAAGAAAAATGACCTCCAAATTTACATTCCTGTACAGGTATGATGATTTCACTCTACCATACTTTATTTTATACCCATCTATTGTTTCTTCCACAAATATACATAACTGGAGTCATAGCCAAAACTTGTATTGCCTGGGCCTATTTGAGCATAAACAGCAGGTATTAGCCCTAAATAGGGGGTCTTCTGCCAACTTGGGTGTGTTAGGAAACATGGACAATATTCAAAATGGCCTGCAGGACTCCAGTTTCAAAGTGAAAGATACCATGCCCATCCAAGACATTGCAGTTTGCCTTTCCCTGATGATTAGTGATGTTGAGCACTTTGTCATATACGTGCTAGCCATTTGTATGTCTTCTTTTGAAATATGTTTTTCGATGTCTTTTGCCCATTTTTAAAATCAAATTATTTGTGAGATAATTTTGGTACTCAGTTACTTGAGTTCTTTATATATTCTGGATATGAACCCCTTGTCAAATGCATTGTTGGCAAATCTTTTCTCCCACTCGTATGTTATCTATTCACTCTGTGAATTGTTTTCGTTATTGTGCAGAACCTTTCAGTATGATGTAATCTCATTTTTTAATTTTTTATTTTTTCCCTGTGATTTTGAGGTTCTACTTTAAAAATTCTTGCCCAGATCAATGTAGTGATGATGCATTCTGCCTGTGTTTTCTACCAGAAGTTTTACAGTTTAAGATCTGATATTAAAGTCTTTAATCCAATTTGAGTTTAAAATAGTGAAATAAGTGTCTAGTTTCATTCTGTATTTGGATATGCATTTTTTGCATCACCATTTATTGAGGAAGTAGTGCTTTTCTTGGTGTATGTTCTTTTCAACTTGGTCAAACATCAGTTGACTATAAATGAGTGAATTTATATCTGGGCTCTCAGGGGTTCTCTTCTGTTTGTGTGTCTGCTTTTATGCCAGTACCATTCTCTTTTGATGTTTAATAGCTTGTAGTATATCGGGTAGTATGATGCCTACATATTCATTCATTTTGCTCAGAATTGCATTGGCTATTTGGAGTCTTTTTTGCTTCCATATGAACTTTAGGATTGTTTTTTTCTATCTCTGAAGAATATCTTTTGTATTCGGATAGTGATTGCTTTAATTCTGTAGCTCTCTTTTGGTAGATGGACATTTTAATGATATCAATTCTTCTAATCCACGAACATGGGGAATCTTTCCATTTATTTGTGATCTCTTCAATTTCTTTCATTAGAGTTGTATAGTTTTTCTTGAAGAGATCTTTTACTTTGGCTAAATTTATTCCTAGTTATTTTGTATTTACTTTAGTTTTTGTAAATGGGATTGCCTTATTTCTCTTTCAGATTGCTCACTGTTGGCCTATATAAATGCTAATTTTGTATGTTGATTTTGTATCTTGCAAATTTACTGAATTCATTTATCAGTTCTCACAGTTTTTGCTGGTGTCGTTAGGATTTTTTTAATATATGACCATGTCATCTGTAAACAGGGAAAATTTCAGTTCCTTCTTTCCAATTTGGAGGCCTTTGTTTCCTTCTTTTACCTAATTGCTCTAAGACCAGACACAGCTTCTCTTTTTTCTCTCCTGAATTCATGGGAATTCAGGATGTTATTGTTTTTGAATAGTTTCCAGTTCTATTTTTGTGGGTGTGGATGAATGATGCTGGAGGATCTTCTATTCATCTATCTTGTTGCTATAACTCCTCTCTATGAGTCTTTCTTAACTTTTTAAAGATACAGTTTGCTGTTAGAGTATAGAAACTCCAATTTCTGTCTGTTGATTTCCTGAAACTTTCCTGAATTTGTTAGGGAATAGTTTTTGTTGAAGGCTTTATGTTTTTTTATATGTAATATTACTTTATTAACAAACAGAAACATGTCACTTCTTCCTTTCCTATTTACATTTCTATTTATTTTTCTTCCCTAATTGCTTTAGCTGGGACTTTCAGTGCTATGTTACATAAAAGTGGCAAGAGTGACCGTTCTGGTCTTTTGCTGGATCTTAGAGAAAAAGCTTTCAACATTTCATCATTAAGTATTATGTCAGCTGTAGGCTTATCATATATGGCCTTTGTTATGGTGAGATACATTCCTTGTATACCTAATTTGTTGAGAGTTTTGGAATTTTGTCAAATGCTTCTCTCCACCTAAATAATCATAAAATTGTATCATTCATTCTGTTAATGTGCTATGTGATGTTTATTAATTGGCATCTGTTGAAGCATCCTTGCATCCCTGGGATGAATCCCATTTTATCATGATGAATGCTTTTTGAAATGTGCTTTTAAATTCAGTTTGCTAGCATTTTTTGAGGAATTTTACATCCATGTTCCCAAATGATATTGACCTGTAGTTCCTTTTTCATTCCCATGTCCTTCTCTGGCTTTGGTATTAGGATAATTCTGGCCTTGTATAATGAATTTGGAAGTATTCCCACTTCTTCAATTTTTTGGAAGTGTTTGAGAATAATTGGTATTAGTTCTTTAAATTTTTGATAGAATTTTGCAATGAGTCCATATTGTCCTGGGCTTTTTTTTTTTTCTGGTGGGAGACTTTTATTACTACTTCACTGCATTATTCATTATTGGTTTGCTAAGATTTACTATCGTAGGATTTATGTATCAGTCAATTCATGTCTTCCAGCTTATCTAATTTTTGACATGCAATTATTCATTATACTTTCATAATCTTTTGTATTTCTGTGGCCTCAGTTGTAATATTTCCTTTGTAAATTTCTGATTTGAACCTTCTTAGTCTAGTTTATTTTGTTTTTTCACAAAACAACTCATCTGATGTTTTGCATTGTTTTTATCATTTTTTTATTTCTCCTCTAATCAATATTAATGTATCTACTAATTTTGAGTTTAGCTTATTCTTGTTTTTCTAGTTAATTAAGGTACAATATTACCTTTCCTTATTTGAAGTCTTTCTTCTTTATTGATGTAGCCATTCATTGCTATAAACTATAAACTTCCTCTTTGAACTGCTTTTGCTGTGTCCTGTAGGTTTTGGTATGTTGAGTTTTCCATTTTTATTTGTCTCAAACAACCTTTTATTTTCCCTTTTAATTTTTTCATTGACCCATCTATTGTTTAGGAGCATATTATTTAATCACCATTTATTTGTAAACTTTCTGAGAATTCTTGCATTCGTTTATAAACTGCTGTGATCAGAAAAGATGATTGATATTATTTTGAACTTCTTATCTTTAAGACTTTTTTGTGGTCAAACATGTGATCTAACCTAGAAAATGTTTCATGTGCAATCGAGTATAATGTGTATTCTGCAGCTACTGAATAAAATGTTTTGCATATGCTTTTTAGGTCCATTGCCCTAGAGTGCAACTTGAAGCTGTTATTTCATTGTTTACCTCCTGTCTGGATAGTCTTTCCATGGCTGAAAGAGGGGTGTTGAAGTTTCTTAGTATTATTTTATTGCTATCTATCCCCTTAGATCTATTAATACTTTATTGTATTTAGGTTAATGTTTCATACATAGTCACAATTATTATATACTTTTTGTTGAATTGACTTTTTAATCATTATATATGATCTTCTTTGTCTCTTTCTACAGTTCTGGACTTCAGTCTATTTTATCTGATATAAGCATAGCTACTCCTGCTCTTTTCTGGTTACGACTTGCATGGGATATCCTTTTCAACCACTTCACTTCGTCTGCATATGTCCTTGCAGGTTAAAGTAACCTGTTGTAGTTGGCATTTTTTATACATTCTGCCACCAGATATCTTTTGATTGGATAATTTAATACATTTACATTTAAGATAATTTTTGATACATAGGGACTTAATGCTACAATTTTGTTAGTTTTCCAGTTGTTTTCTAGAGACTTTGTTCTTTTCTTCCATTCTTACTATCTTCTTTTAAGGTTAAATGATGTTTTTTCTAGTGGTATGCATTGATTCCTTGTTTTTTAAAAATTTTTGTATGTCTACTACAGGTTTTTGCTTTGTAGTTACCACGAGACTTACCAACATATTATAACAGGTTATTTTAGGCAGCTAACAATTTTTAGCACAATAAAGCTCTACAAAAATCATTTTTCATGAAATTTTGCTACATTTCCTTTCACAAGGATGTTTTAAAGATAACCATCAAATGTGTCTATAATTATAATCCAGCAAATTGAGAGTTGACAAATGCTCTTTAATTCATACAAAGTTAGAGTATGCATTTTATATTGTCTGAGTTCAGGAAAAATATTAAAAACTAGTTCTCTCATATTTTTCCAAAGCACTACAGAATCTTTATATTATAGTCATAAAATAATTGAGTGTGGTGAGAGAAAAGAAGAATGTGTACTGTTGAAAACACCTGATTATTCGCAAGTTGTACATAGCCAATTAGGAAGTTATAGCATGCAGCTACCACATGTATGCTTTTAGGTAACAGGTTCAGCAGGCCCCACCTCAAATGCCCTCCTATCAGCCTATTCTCGGGTAAAGGCATGGTCGACTCCACTTAGATCAACATCATTTAGATCACCATTCTCATGTACCTGGTCTCTATGTTTTTGGTCTTGCACATCTCCAATTGATCACCACACAAATAACATTTCTAAAATACAAATCTGATCATTTCACTATTGTTTGTAAAACCCTGGGCCACACAAGGGCAAGAAATAAGCCTAACATGAAATAAGAAAGATCTACTGGGCATTGATCTCTCTCGCTTGCTCAGCCCTGTCTTTGCTCATGCTGTGCCTTTTCCCTTGCAGCGTGTCTCAGCAAGTTCCCCTGGCTCCAACATCACACACTCATCTGAGGGTAACTTTTCGTCACTATTCAGCACTGAGCCCCGGAGTCTCCTCTCAGCTCCTTGTTTGAACTCAGATGTCACAGATAGAATTAGTGTGTCCTTATGAGCTGCACCCTTCACACGAGTATCAAAACAGCTTATTTATTTTCTTACATTTGTTTGCATAAACAACTACATGTATTTTTCAAACTCCTTGGTAAAAGCCATGTGCTATTCAAAATTTAATCTTATTTAACTATTTTTAATTATAAAATAGTACAAAATGCTTGTTAAATAAATGAAGGATTGAATGTTGATGCCATCCCTCTGCTTGTTTGTATAACAAGTTACATGTTTGAAATCTCAGCTCAGGAATCACCCTGGGCAGGTAACCTTCCTTAAAACTCCTTCCACTCAGGTGTCATATTTTTTCTGCAGTCACTTATGTGGTCCTACATCCTCAATACACCACATGGCAGTAATTATTTCGGAGAGATAAATCCACTAGACGCCATCAGAATTGGACCATGCAGAAAAATGTAGCCCTCAATAAAGAAGGGGCGATGACTGGATTTTCTCGGTAATGATTAGATATAATGAAATGAGCATGATTTCTAAGATGTCACACTGCCACCAAGCAGAAAGGAGAATATTTTCAAAAAGGGAGAAAAGCCTGGTATTTAATTATTTGTAAATGATTTCAACTTCACAAAAATCATTAAAAAACAATAGTACAATTAATACCTATATACCCTTTACCCATACTCATGTGTGGCAGCAACATTGAACTCAGTTTGTTTCATTGCCCCTCTCTATCTCCCTCCCTCTTTCCCTCTCATCATTTGAACACCTCATGACCTTTTTGTCTCTAAATATTAAGTATTTCCTGAGGTTAAGAATATTTTTTCACAAAATTAGAGAACAGTTATCAACTTCCAAAAATGTTACATTAGTATAACACAATTGTAAAAGAATTTTGGATGGACAAAGACTATAAAATAGAGTTTCCACACAGTGAAAGAATTCCTCAAAATGAGATGAATATGAGATGAGGCATCATTGTATGAGAGTCTAAGGAATAACAGGGATAAAATCCTAAGTATCTGATGGGTAGAGAAAAGGAAAATAAATCTTTATATCCAAATTTCCTACTTTATAATTTCCTAAAGGACGAATCTCACAGTTAACATTTTCTTCAGAGCCCCCATGACATCCTTATTCCTAAGACTATAGATTAAAGGGTTCAGCACCGGAGTGAGGATGGTATAGAAGACAGATACCATCATGTCCTTCTCAGGGGTGTGGTAGGAGCTGGGGAGCATGTAGGTGTAGACGGCAGCCCCATAGAAGAGGATGACCACAGTCAGGTGGGAGGAGCAGGTGGCAAAGGCCTTTTTCCGGCCCTCTGCTGAGTTCATCCTGTGGACGGTGAGGAGGATGAGTAAATAGGAGCTTGAAATGATCGTCACAGGGATGAGGAGCATGAGGACACAGCATAGGTACATGAGGGTCTCATAGAGTGAGGTGTCTGAGCAGGACAGGATCGTTACAGCAGGGACTTCACAGAAGAAATGATGAATCTCCCAGGATCTGCAGAAGGGGAAGCTCATGGTGATGGGAGTGAGCATGAAGCCATCCACTGAGCCCAGGAACCAGCAGCCCGATGCCAGGAAAAGACAGACCCTATGGTTCATGAGGACAGGGTAACGGAGAGGATGGCAGATGGCCACGTAGCGGTCATAGGCCATGGTGGCTAGAAGGAAAAATTCCGAACCTGCTAGTGTCAGATAGAGGAACATCTGCATCCCACACTCAGGGGCTGAGACCTTATTCACACCCATGACCTGGTCCAGGAGCATCTTGGGCACAGTGACAGAAATGTACGCCATGTCCATGAGAGACAATTGACTGATGAAAAAGTACATGGGGCTGTGGAGGTGGGCGTCACAGTGTATCAGAAGGATCAGGACAGCATTTCCAGACAACGCCTTCAGGAAAACCACAAAGATGACCACACTAAGTAGAGCTGGATGTTTGGATTGTCTGAAGAGTCCCATGAGGATGAAATCCAACCTTCCAGTGTGGTTGGCCATCCTGGTGATGTTGGCCATGAGGTTTCACCTAGGCCACCAAGGAGAGTTTTGGAGTCAGTGTAACGCGTCCCTTTGTAATGAGTGTTTAGTGAGTACTCACATTTGTGTATGCTCATTGTGCTAACCTGAGTCCCGTGGGTCTGGGGATTTGAGTATATAAATGACATATAACAAATTCACAAAACAAACTAAGAATTCACAACTATAGGCCAGAAGAATTGGTAACTGATAGTAAGGTTGTCACGGTTCAAATTCATAAACTTTCCTGATGATAATGCCATTTATCAACAAGTACTGAAAATTTGCAGAACCTCCCTCCTCTGCTAACACAAACAGTGACTCATTGAAAGAAAGATAAAGCAAACTCCTTATTGTAGAGTTTTTGTCATAGACAGCTGAATTGAATCAACATCGCTGGTTTAAGAAACAATAGGCATCTTCAAAATACTCAGAGGTATATATGATATAAGAAAGATTTAGCAAGTAACTAAAGCGTAACTTGGAAAAAAAATTATGCCAGATGTTTGAACCTCCTCCTCCCATAGGATCAGGCCATGCTGTGAGGCTCTGTGATTGCGTGGAGCGAGCCTCACATTCTCATGAGCAGGGAAGGGTCCTCACACACAGCTGACCCTTTAGACATCGAGAGACGTGAAGTGAGGAGCCCACACACAGTAGACTCCAGCTATGGGTCCACCTTTTTCTCTGTCTGCCATTCCTTTCTCCAATCTACATCAAAAAGGATAAAAATCATGTTTGAGCTCAGGTGTGGTGAGGGTAAAATGAGGAAATGTAATGAAAGTGCTTAGAATAGTACAGTTTCCGATGAATAAACACATATACTCTTAGTGTAGATGTTAACTCTTTAAGCTAACTATTCTGCACAACCTACCTAAGAGATTGTTGCTACTATTATTATATAAGATATATTACTTCCATTCTCCAGATTCAGTACCTATTCATACATTTAAGAAGCTGACTTTCAAAATAAAAATGGCAGAAGTTCTGCAAAATAAAGCATATGACCCACTTTAAAAAAAAACAATTTGGATTTTATATTTGTGTGTTTATGTGTAAATACTCTGGTTTTATATAAATATATATAATATATTTATGTAAACATACACAGGTGAATATATAACTATAACATTTCTTATTTTAACCCTGGTTATGCAGAGCTTTTTGGAGACTCCTATGTCCTTCCTGCCTAGTATGTGGTCCTCCAACCTCATCTCCTTAAAGCTCCTCTCATTTTAAAGCTCATTAAATCTCAGCGAGGAAGAACTAGAATTTGGAGGGTCACTGCTGTTTATCAGACAAGGCTTTAGTTGTTTTTGCAAACCTCATGTGCTTTATTACTTGCCACAATCAATCTTTCATACAAACTGAGAAGCAGGGAGGAAAATCAAACAACACTGAGGCATCTGACTTCAACTCACTGTTTCTCCCTCTACCGTGACACTCACAGCCTGTGTTATACTGACGATGAATCGCCTCTGACTTCAACTCACTGTTTCCTTCTCTATCATGATACTCACAGCCTCTGTGTTATATGCAGAAGATGAATCAAAGAAAAATTGAACTTGAGTGCACTTAAGGAGGTCACAGTCAGTCTATTCAGGGAACAACTATTATGTAAATGTGATTTGAAGTTGAATTTTTAAATAGTTACAAAATAAATAAGGGCAATAGACACAAAATATATCTGGCCGTTCTGAAATAATCCATAATAGCTGTTTCCACATTTTCTCTGAAAGAAATTAAAACTTTCCAACTTTTCAACTTCTGACATATTAAATGTTAAATTTTGAGAGCCCTTGCCAAGAATAAGGACATAATAACTCCTCTTTCTGGGAAGACTTTAGCTGTGATTATGATGCAGGGACATTTTGGAATGAATTTACAAGTTTCAAATATATTTTGTATTCTTGTAGTAATTACAAAAAGTATTTAAGACATTCAACTCACCAAAACTTCCAACATTCTGGGATGCTTCGGTGCTTTAATATAAATATCCAACAAATCTGAGACACATTTTATGTACATATGTATATATATGAATAGATGATGATGATAGATAGATAGATAGATAATGTGTATCAAACACTACCCCTACTGGCAAATGGTGGCTGAGATCTGTGTACAATTTAAAAACATTCCAATAAACTGCAAAACACACCTGCTGACCTCGTCCATTATTTGTGGCCAAAGTGAAGCAAGGACCAGAGGAGCGACCAGCACATGTGAAGACCTAAAAGGTGTTTGCTCAGTAAATTGAGGGGGAGCAGGAGGGCAGGGAGATGCGGGGTTTCCTAAGAAATCTCTGCTGCTCTTTAGGAAATGGCCATCACTATCATTAAGCCACTATCATTAAGCCACTATCAACAGCTCAACCAGGACACGGGACAGATAAGGGAACACTATCCACACACAGTGAACTGGCCCCCTGTTCATTCTTCTTCTGTACCCGCTTGTTTGACTTTCATGTAAATTGCTTAATGCATGTTTAACTTGGGGATTTATTATAAGTATAAATGGAGTCAAACCTTTATTTGAAGCATACAGCATCCCAGGAATTGTTCTAATACTAATACTAAAATTAATACTTTACATTTCTTCTTTCCCAAGAGCCTATGAGTTACTTCCTATTATTTTCTCTCTTTACATATTAAAAAATGCAGGTTCTCAGGGTACCTGCCTAATATCACACACCTAACCTGAGATAGAACGCACGTCTCAGCCCGAGAGTGAGAGCCAGCGCACGTAACTCTGCCTGATTCCTCTCAGGGACACCATCCTCCCTCTGCAGTCTACACTTTGGATTTAGGCCACTGTCTGTGGGTTTCATCAAGGAAACATAAAATGATTGAGACATTGTTTCTAGTGTTTTGTAACCCTCAGAAATAATCCCCTCTCAAAAGAAAATCAGTCACTTTTCCTCTATAAAACTTCAGTGACAGGAAAATAAATACATCATTGTATGAAAATCTAAAACTATAGAATATATATTATTATGTCCATAAATAATTGGAAATTAAAAATCCATTTACCATTATGTCACAGTAAATAAGTGTTGTATAGAAGTTATAAGAAAGAATAACATTTGCTTTTCTCCATTAAAAACAGATGATAAAGAAAAAATGAGGAAATGCTGTGAAGAACTAATAGAACGTTTCAGAAGCAGAACAAGTCGAGAGCAGTGATGACCCTTTTGTTCCTGCTAGTACCTCCTGTCTGTCTGGCCGAACTCACCATCAGATGATGTCTTGAACCTCACCTAGATGGGCTGGTGGTGTGTGGCCAGGTTAAGAGCACCAACAGGAGTAAGAAAGTGACCTGCCTGGTTTTACCGTGTGTACTAGGGGAGGGGTTGAAAGCTTTCGGTTGATACATCACCTCTGGGAGTTGAAGAAGAATGCAATTAAGAGAGCTAAAGAAGTCAGTAGGTATCTCTCCTGAACAATTCTGGTTTTCTTCTAATAGCTTTTACAATTTTTACCTCTGTTATGAAATGCAAACTTTTAACCAATATTAGTAATAGTAATCTCAAATCTCATCATCATCAAAATCTTATTTATGAAATATAGGAGTTAGTTCATATACAGCCTTAGCCTTTTCCACATTATAAAATATATTCCATATATATGTGTGATCTTCATTTAATATTCAAGTAAATGTTGTAAGATATTGTTATTTTTATTCTAACATTTCACAGGTATAGAATCTGAAACTCAGAGGTCAACTGATGTGTCAAAGATACCTCCACAAATCAGTACCTTGATTAAAACTAAAATTGGAGTCATCTTCATATCTCCATCTTTCTCCCTCTTCATTAGGACCGATTGTAGTCTGTTTCCCTCTCACTCACTTGCAATCTTTATTGCTTTAGTGTTGCATTTGATTTTTATCTTTGTTTTTGTTTTAAATACTGTCATTAAAGTCATAGAAAAATCTAAAATAAAACTGGTTGAATAAAAATTTTAAAATCGACTCTAATGTAATAAACCAGACAAAAATGATACTTTAAATGTTATATCTTCCCTTTAAACTACAAATATTCATTGAGTGTATACCCTGTATTAGGCTGTTGGAATAAAACAGGGAAGAAGACAGAAGAAACTGCACCGCCATCTTAGATCTTGCAGCCAAATTCCTCTGAACTTTTCTCTAAAGACGTGCTCTGGAAAAATGTTGATCATTTTCCTACATCATGGAGGTCTTTTCATGACCACCTTTGTCTAGACAATGTCCTGTTTTTAGGTGCACGTTTGAGGGCTGGAGTCTCTGACCCACAGTGCTGCAGCCTGCACGTGGTTTGTCCTGACTTCTTTGCTACTTCACTTTTCGTAAGGCTCTGAGAGTGCAGGCCCTTGTGGGTGGACACTGCAGGGTGAGAGGAAGAAGTAAACTACTTTTTTCCGTTTCTGATGGGGGTGTGGGTCAGCAGCTATAAGCAACAGGGACCATGGGGGGCCTCAGACTTCAGCACCTGAGAGGCAGTTTCAGTCGTATTGGGGAGATGCAGGCATCTGGGTTGCTGCACATCACCAGGGCAGGGTTCTCTCAGCAGCCCTGGAGTGCAGAGTTCCCATCAGCTCAGCAGTGAGGGGCACATGGGGCTCCAGTGGTGAGGACTCTTGGTCCTTGGATGACAACACTCCCCTGCCCACTTCTCCAGCCTTCCCTGTAACCCTTTGCCACCTCTAACCAATCTTCTGTGTTACATCTCTTCGGTTTGCAATATGTAGTGTTCGTATATGACTGGACAGTATCTACTGGAGTTAATATCTATCAGAGTAATTATATCACAATTGCAATCTTCTCCTAAGAGTGAATAGTGACATTAAAAATTTCAACATTATAAATTATGCAGAAATAAAACTAATTATACAAAAAATACACTCTGAATGTCAGTTTTTCCCTGAGACAATCTACCATTTGATATACGGTGATTCACACTTCTTAATATACAACATTGAATTACTTTTCCAAAAGCCTCTTCAAATTTTGCTGCAGAATTAAACTTCACTTGCACCAGCTCTGAATTATGTGTGCTTTTCCTTCTTGGTCAATTTCATAGGTGTATCATTATTTGTCTTTTTTAATTAATATGTTTATATAACTTTTCATGTTTATCCATGTAACTACTGCTTTTGTGAAACGTGTGTTTTTATCCTTTTCACATTTTTTTCTATTGAAATGTTTTCTTTATAAATATAAATGTGTTTTTGGTATGAAAATAATAACTGGCCAGATGCGGTGGCTCACACCTGTAATCCCAGCACTTTGAGAGGCCGAGGTGGGTGGATCACCTGGCCTCAGGAGTTCGGGACCAGCCTGGCCAGCATAGTGAAACCCCATCTCTACTAAAACTACAAAATTAGCTGGCGTGGTAGCACGTGCCCTGTAATCCAAGCTACTTGGGAGGCTGAGACAGGAGACTCAGTCGAACCTAGGAGGCAGAAGTTGCAGCAAGCCAAGATCACGCTATTGCACTCCAGCCTGGGCAAAAAGAGCGAAACTCTGTCTCAAAAAGAAGAAAAAAAATAGTAACTCTTTGTGAATAGTATCAACTAAAATATTTATATTTCAGTTTTCATTCTGATATTTTGTTTCATCAGAATTTTTTAAAGTATTTTGTTTAATATATTAACTTTAATAATTTCATTAACTGTCTCGTGCTTACAAAGTCTTTATGCATTTGGGGATTATGTAAAGCATCTACCTTTACACTTTTAATGAGTTTCAGAGGTTTTTTGGTACCTTTGAGTTATAATACAAAAATAATTTATTTGGGTGTGATATGCAGTGAATTGCTAACATTATTGCTTTTAATTAAAGATTAAATTCCAATGTTGAATGATATTTTCTTTAATTTCAAAAATAATTAGTAACTGTTCCAGGCACTATCTAGGTTTATGATGTTTGAAACAAAGATTCTTCCCACACAGCATTTATATACTAGTGGTAAATACAGGCAATAAACTAATAAATATGTAATGAAATATCAAGTATTAATAATCACAGTGAATAAAAAATAAAGGCAGAGAGATGAGATAGGAATGATTAGCGAATCTATTTAACACAGGCTAGTTAGGAGCCCTTTATTTAGAAGGTGAAATTTCATCAGATCCGTAAATGAAGCAATGGAGTCACTCGTAAACAACGGGGCAGAGATGTTTAAGCAGAGGAAACAGAGAAAGTTAAAAGCTGTGAGACTGAAAGTAACTTGCAACGTTTGAACAGCAGCAAGAAGATCTGTGGCCCCAGATTGAGGTGAGAAAGTTGGCAAAACAGAAAATGGGGTTAGAAATGGAGCCAAGAACAGGTCGTATAATATCATGATGGTCCTGGGAAGGACCAGGGACAGGCAGAGGTGTGTTTAAGAAAGGGAAGACAAAAGTATACACGGCACTCAAGAGAGTGCATGTGCACTTAGAAAAAGAAAGGAAGTCTCAGCCAATGTTTGGCCCCTGTCTTCTAAGAACTCTTCAGGAAGTTTACCAGGCATGCTCACAGTCTGTTCTGACTGTAGCCTGGCTTCCCCTCCCCACCCCACCCCACCATACAACTCCCAGCAACAGACAGCACTCAGAGAATCTCCAGAGAGTGAAGGGCCCCAAAGCTTTGACTCTCCTTGCTTCTTGGTTAATCCCACTCTGAGATATCACTGGAGGACGGACAGAGAGGAAAGACATTTGGAACAGGTATATGATTATCACTGAGAAGGCTTGAGCGAGAATGCAGGAAAGGGTTTGAGCTAGTCCTGATGAGACATATGGTGTCTGGGCAAGGGGTGTGGTGGAGGAGGAGAAGTTGGATTGCCGTTTATACACACAGGAATATTGGGGCTGGGCAGGTTGGCATGGAACGCTGAAACTGAAATTTGGGACTCCAGTTGCCCAGTACACATCTACATGAAGATGATGCAAGGCTAGTGTATACACGAATCCAGAGTTCATAAGAGAAGGCAGTCCTAAAATCATGGTTTTGAGAACCAGTGTGTGTGGAGGAAACAACGGGATCGCACAAGGAAGGAGGGTCAACATCTTATACCAGAAGCCAGTGCAGGGGAGGCTAAGTTTCCACATTATCTCTTCTTTTCCATTGGTCTTTCACTGAATTCCTTTAAAATATCTTGTTTTATTGGGTGTCCCCTCATGATAATTTTAAACAACTAGTGAAACAATTCTTGTCTTCATGTATGTTCATGTTCAAAATAAGCAAGTTTTTGTTTTTCCTTTCAGTTGATCTATTTGGCTAGGTTCAAAAGATCTAACTAATTGTATTGATTAGAATACAATGAAATACATTTGGGAAGAATTGATATTGTTAAAATGTTGCAGATTTTTATAAACAAGCACAATAGGTCTCACAGAGATATCCAAATACTTAGAGGTCGGGTCTGGATTTTGAAGTAATTTTAATAAAATTCTTCCACAATAATTGAGATTCTGAGATATTTTTATAATTTAATTTTTTGGAGAATATTTTTCATTTAAAAATACTTAAAAAGCATTAACAGTGACAGAAAAGCTATTGATATATATTTTTTCAACATTAATATTTATGGTGGAAACCCTGCTTAAAGTTCTACTTTTTTTTTACATTTTAAATGTAAACTGAGAAAATATTTATAAAAACAAAAATAACATTTTAAGAATTAAACTATAAATATATAAAACATGTCAAACATTTTGTAAATGATCCTGAAGGCACCATCAGAGATATAAAGAAATGCAAGATACATGCACAGAACAAAGGAAGAGGGGCCACCACCTTTATGGACTGGAGGTCAGGATATCAAGCCAAAGAGGACCTCAAGTCCTGAAATCTAACGAAACTTGCCCTGCCAGGCTTCAAGTTTGCTTTGGCTCTAAGACTTCTATTTAACTTCCAATTTCTCTTTTTCAGAATAGGAATGTCTATCCTATATGTGAGTGTCACTGTTGCATTTTGACAGCAGATAACTTGCTGTCTGGTTTCACAGGTTTTAAATTAACTTATTGAGTAAAATCTAAGTTGAATAATGTGCTAGAGAAATATTCTTAATACAAAGAGATTAAAAACATTAGCAAGATGTTTGAAGAGGAGCTCCTATAATCGTATCCCCTCAAAGCAGCAATAATATAGCAGCCTGTCTGGCACAAAAGTCCCTTGGTGGGAACTTCTGGATCTTGACAGGAAGTGTCAAAACTGGTGAATCCCAACACTGAAGAGAGCTATTTTGAGAAGGCAGGGCCACACCCAGGTGGCAGGCTCACTGACTGTGGTCCTGGCTACAGACACAGAATTAACATCCCTCTGGACTCAGCTAGTGCCCTGTTTGGCATTGGTCCTGCCACCTGAACCATCTGCCAAGGGGCCCAGGGGCACTCACATTGACCAGTACCCTCAAGTAACAGGCCTGCTAACCTTAGTTCTAGCTCTGAACCCTGAAGCAGTCCATGACCCAGCTCCAGTCCCCCTCAGCCATGGTCTGGGAATAGACCTTCCTGCACAGAGACCTGCCAGGAGGCAACCCTGTTCATGTGCCTAGAGGCAGGCTCTCAAAACTACGTCCGACTGCCAATCTTGAAGCAGCTCTGTTACTTGGCACCCTTTTCCATTGTTCAAAAGCAGTCCTGCCCACTCAGTGACCTCCTGGGTGACACATTGATCGATGCCCCTGTAAACAAGACTGCTGACATCAGTCAGCTGGAGATCCTGAATCAGCCCTCTTATCCAGCTCCAGCTTCCATTCAACCACAGCTTGGGGATATCTTATATCTTATATTTACAGGGACTATGCAGGAGGTACACCCATCCATGCAGGACAGAAGACCTCAGACTCAGCTGTGGTCCATGACACAGCCCTGAGACTCAGTTCCAGGTCCTCTCAACTGTGGTCTGGGGACAATCCTTCTTGCCCAGAGACTTTCCCACCAATATAATGGGAGTCCTTCAAGGGACTCAATAGAATCCACACCCATTTCTGTACCTCGTAAGAGGCATGCCATCTACAGAACCAAATGTGAACCCTGAAGCAGAGTGTCCTAGCGATAGCCCTATTGACCAAGGTACTAGAGGCAGTCTTCTCTACCAAGAGACCAGACAGGATTTATACTCAACTCGACTTCTGGTAACAAGCTTGCCAACTAAAAATTCTGCTGTAGACTCAGGAGTAGCCACATGACATGGCTCTAACCCTGCTCAACTGCAGTCCTGGAGGTAATTCTTATTAGCCTAGAGAAATGACAGGAGAATGTCTTTACCTACCGAAACCAGTCTATGCAGACCAGAAGAGCTGTTTGCAACTTCAAATGTGCACACATCAATGCATAGCTACTTGAGTCACAAAAAATCAGGCAAATGTGACACCAAAGTAATAAATAAATACCACCAAAGTAATAAAGCTTCATTAAGCAACCCCAAGGAAATGGAAATCTATGAATTGCCTAAGAATTTTAAAATCATATTAAATAGGATCAAAGAGCTTCAAAATAGCAGAGATCTAAAACTAATAAAAAAATGCATAAACAAAATGAGAAATATAATAAAGACATTGACATCATAAAAGGAAAGAATTCTTGTGCTGAGAAGATTTGTAGTCAAATTTGGAACACTCTAGTACTGTAATGGAGGTGTGTAAATCTCGTTAACTTTAGTGTAAAGCTTGTAAAATATTCTGAATACAATTATGGAAGTGAGAAGGTCAACAGAGTACTTTAATAACATATTTCATCATACAGCGAAAGGAAGCAATGAACTTGAGTTTAGATCATACAGTTAGAGGAACAAAAAAAATAAAATGCAGAAGCATCTGGGAACTATAAGACAACATCAAGCAAATATATATGTGTATTATGACATTCACAGAAGGAGAAGAGAGAAAAACAGAAAGCTAAAATGACAACATTTCCTAAATTTGTGAGGGATAGGGACATGCAGATTCATAAAGTTCAAAGGAACCCAAGCAAGAACAAACCAAAACATTATACCTGAGACATATTATGATCAGTTTGTCAAAAGTCAAAGACAATTCTATAATTTGGAAAAATATGGATGAGCCCAGAGGACAATATTTTAAATAAAATAAGCCTGGTATAGGACAAATATTGCACAATTTCATTTATATGTGAAGTGTCCAATAGTCAAACACATAGAAACAAAGAATAAAATGGTGGTTACCAGAGTTTGGAGTGAGGAAGGAAAAGAGAAGATGTGGGTCAAAGGATACAAAATTTTATTTAAGCAGGAGAAATAAGTTCAGGAGGTTTATGGTACATCATGCTGACTACAGTTTCAACAATTATGTACTTGAAAATTGCTAAGAAAGTAGGTATAAGAGTACTCAGCACATGAAATGATTACTTGAACCCAGGAGGCGGAGGTTGCAGTGAGCCGAGGTCATGCCACTGCACTCCAGCCTGGGCAACAGAGTAAGACTTTGTCTTAAAAAAAAAAAAAAAAAAAAACTCCCAAGAAAAGCCTAGGACTAGAAGACTTCATGATGAATTCATCCAAGCACTTAAAGAACTAACACATATCCTCCTCTGATTTTTTCAAAACATTGAAGGGCAAAAACACTTCCAAATTCATTTACTGAAGCCAACATTACCTTTAAACCAAAGCCAGATAAGAACACTAACTCCCAAAATATTATAGGTCAATATTCCTGACAAACAGCTTTCATAATTTTTGGTAAAAATTAACAAAATACTAACAAACCAAAGCAGTGCATTAAAAGGATACTTCACCTTAATCAAGTGGGATTATTCCTAGGATGTATAAACCAAAAGTATGTCAGACAGGTCTCAATCAGATTGAAAGTTTATTTCACCAAGGTAAAGGACATGCTTGGAAAAAAGAACACAATTACAGAAACAGTCTGTGGTCTGTGCTTTTCTTTAAAGATAATTTTGAGGACTTTAATATTTAAAGGGGAAAGCAGGCTAGAGGGGAAAGAGGGAGAGTATGATAATCCACAGGTTGCAAGAAGAAAAGAAGCAAAGAAGCAGGTAGGTGAATAGTCATTTATGTATTCCTTTCACACTCAGTAGAAGGATCATCGCTTTACGTCAGGTAAGGAGAATGTGGAGTTACTGCCTGTTACTCTAACATTTTATCAGTAGTTAACTGATTAGGAACAAAAAACAAAAACCAAAGGAAATGCAGTTTCTTGCATAACTCAGCTTTCAGCTTAGTATCTTTTTTCCTTTTGGCATAGTAAATTGGGGTCCCAAGTTTTTTTCCCACAGATGCAAAGATGGTTCAACATACACCAATCAATAAATATGATATGCCACATTAACAGAATAAATGACAAAAACAATTGTGCATCTCAATAGACATAGAAAAAGCATTGGATAAAATTCAACATCTTTTCATGATAAAAACTCAGCAGATTTGTTATAGAAGGAATGTGCCTTTACATAATAAATCTCACAGCTAAATCATACTCGATGGAGAGAAACAGATTTTCCGCTAAGATCAGGAAGAAGACAAGAGTGCTCACTCTCACTGCTTCTATTCAACATAATACCGGAAACTAGCCAGAGCAATTAGGCAATAAAAAGAAAGAAAAGGCTTTCAAATCAGAGGAAGTTAAATTATCTTGCCATCTGTTTGCAGATGACATGATTTTACATATAAAAAACTCTAAAGACTCCACCAAAATCCCATCAGAGTTAAAGAATTCAAGAAACTTGCAGGATACAAAATAAACATATATAAATGAGTTGTATTTCTATACACCAAAAAGGAACCATCCAAATATGTAATTAAGAAAAGAATACCATTCCCAATACCATCCAATAGAATAAAATACATAGGAATAAATACAGCTGAGGGAGTGAAAGATCTGTTCACTAAAGAGGAGATAAATAAGTGGGAGGATATCTCATGTTAATGGGTTAGAATAACTAATATTCTTTAAATGTCCATATTACTCCAGAAAATGTCTGATTCAGTATAACCCCAACTAAAATTCCACAGGCATTTTTTACATAAATAGAATAAAACAACTCTAGAAATTTTGTGAATGCACAAAAATATCAAATAGCCAAAGCAATATTGATAAAAAGAACAAAGCTGGAGGCTTGACTCCGATTTCAAACTATATTACAAATTATAGAAATAAAGCCATGCTTATATGGTCAATTAGTCTTTGATGAGGGTGCCAAAAATGCAGCATGAAGAAAGGATAGTCTGTTCAATAAATGGCATTGGGAAAACCAGATACATACATGCAGAGGAACGAAATTGGACTCTTATCCTACACTATTCCCCCAAAACCAAATCTAAATGGATCGAAGACTTAAATGGAAGACCTGGACTTGTAAAAGTCCTAGATGATGACATAGGGAAACAGCTCTTTGACATTGATCTTGGCCGTGATATTTTTGATATGACACAAAAATTAAGGCAACAAAAGCAAAATAAGCAAGTAGGACTGCATCAACATGCAAAAACTTTTGCACAGAAAAGGAAACAATAAAATGAAAAGGTAATCTCTGCAATGGGAGAACATATCTGCAAACCATATTTTGGATAAGGAGTTAGCATCCAAAATATAAAAGAAACTGACAAAATCATTAGCAAATATCAAATTACCCAACTTAAAAATGGTAAAGACAGTGTGAATAGGCATTTTTCCAAAGAGGCAATACAAATAGCCAACAGGTGAATGAAAAGATGTTCAACATCACTAATCATCAGGGCCACACAAATCAAAACCACAATGAGATATCAGCTCACACCTGCTAGGATGGCTATTACCAGGCAATACATAGCAAGTGCTGTCAAGTGTGTGTAGGAAATGGAACACTTGTACATGTGCATTGCTGGTAGAAACGTAAGTTGCAACAGCCTGTGTTGAAAGCTGTATGACAGTTCTATAAAGATTAAAAATAGAGCTACTCTATAATTCAGCAATCCCACTCTGTACACCTTCCTGAGGTAAATAATTATATAAATAATATAATGACAACATAAGAACATTGTTAAATTAGTCATCTGTGGTGTCCATTTGAGCAGTTTTGCCCATTTATTTAATTACAGCAATTTCTGAAACCAAATTTTACCTACCTCTAACAACCCCCTCTTACAAGTGATATTTCTGCACCACTTGGTGGAATTTACTTCCAAATTCAGATCTCTGTACACAAACTCAGACAAACTCCTTTCATGCACTGCAGGAATAATTTTCAGTGAGAAGCAAAAGTGTTCGGTCGATGTGTCATGTAAAGCAAGTACTTGTCATTTCTCTCGAAGATGCGATAGGCATGGGAACACCTGGCTTCCATTCATTGTCGGTAAATCAGGCATGGTCAGGGCTGTGCCAAGGGGAAGTAAATTAACAGCTTCACGATACAGCTCGAGATTCAGCTTCTTGCATATTAATTAGAACAAATGTATTTCTTTCCTAATTTCTCACGTTCCAGAAATACTACACCCATGAATTATTTTGTTAATGAAAATGATAGTGATCTGATGCTCATAGATTTACAGAAGTTACGTTTGTAGCATGATATACATCTGGCAAACTAAAGGTTAGTGACAAGTTTATAACCATTTTGCTGGTTTTCCCAGTTTCAGAAGAAACATGCCGAGGGGGTTAAGCTTTCCTAAGTCTCCATTATCGCACGCGACTGTTATGATATTTATTGTAAACATAGTAGACCATTGTCTGGAATAGACTAAATCCTAAAGAAACTAAATCTGGAACTACTTTTATTTACATACTATGAAATAGATGAACCTATTCTTTGAATTTTGAAATGGATTCATTTTTGGTTTAGGTGGTTCCAATGGCCAATGCTAAAACTACTGGTGTTTACACTACAAAGTTCACTTCAGCCTTTGGAGAAAATGCGTTTCTTTGTACTTACTGAGATACAATAGCAGAAACACTGACCCCAGTGGCTGCCAATGTGAACCGAGGTTTACAATGTATTGCAAAGGGAGGGAGCAGCCAATACTCCTCCTCTAGGGCTCTGCTAGGATTCTAAGTCTTTACAATGAGTCTCTTCGAGGGGTAAAGTGTTTAAGACCAAGTCTCATACTAAAATGCTCAATGAACCTGGGATGGGAGATAAGATAAAAGGCACTCTATAAGGTCTTTCATAGGTCAGCTACTGCAGTGCAGTTAAAAACACTCTAAAGATATTAAATCTAATGAGATAAATGGGAGCAATAAGCAGTATGGAGGGAAAACGCCACGTATAAGAAAGAAGGAAAATATGAGTGGGCTTTGTGCTGGGGACCCGGAGACCTGAGGGCAAAAGAGAGGAGAGATAGGGAGTAACGGAATTATAGAAAGAGGAGGGGACAATGCTTGTCCTTTACTACTTTTCTTGGTTCATTCTTGACTGCATCATGCTCCTCAGAGCCCTGGTGACATCTTTGTTGCGGAGACTGTAAATGAGGGGGTTCAGCACAGGAGTGAAGATGGTGTAAAAGGCAGACACCATCATGTCCTGCTCAGCTGTGTGGTAGGAACTCCGGAGCATGTAGGTGTAGAAGGAAGCACCGAAGAGCAGCAGCACTATGATCATGTGGGAGGAGCAGGTGGCCAAGGCCTTCCTGCGGCCGGCGGCAGAATTCATCCTGTGGATGAGATGCAGGATGAGGGTGTATGAGCTGGAGATGACCATGATGGGGGTGAGAAGCATGAGGATGCAGCACAGGTACGTGAGCATCTTATAGAGGGAGACGTCAGAGCAGGAGAGCTTCAGCAGGGCAGGAGTCTCACAGAAAAAACTCAGGATTTTCCTAGACTGGCAAAAGGGGAAGCTCATGGTAATGGGGGTGAGCAACAAACCATCAACCATTCCCAAAACCCAGCAGGCTGACACCAGGAGCTGGCACACCCTCTGGTTCATCAGCAGTGGGTAATGGAGAGGTCTGCAAACAGCAGCATATCGGTCATAGGCCATGGCAGCCAGGAGGAAAACCTCAGCTCCAGCCAGGGTCAGGTGGAAGAACATCTGGATCCCACAGCCTGACGGGGAAATGGTATCATCTCCAGTGACCTGGCCCACAAGCATCTTGGGCACAGTCACGCATAGGTACATGAGATCCATGAGCGCGAGCTGGCTGATGAAGAAGTACATGGGGGTGTGGAGGCGGGGCTCTGAGTGGATGAGGAGGATGAGGAGGGCATTCCCAGTGAGGGCCATCAAGAAAAGAAGGAAGGTCACGGTGTAGAGGAGGGCAGCATGCTTGCTCTCAGCAAAGAGTCCCGTGAGGGTGAAATCAGTGCTTGCTGTTTGATTCTGAGAAGTCTGATTCCCTGAGCACATGACTGGCTCACAGTTTCCCCCTGAGGAAAAAAAAGTCATTAATTTTAAATCTTTCCTATGTACATGGCTTTCCTAACCTTTTTCTGGTAAGACATGTGCTTTGAATTATTTTTCTAAATATTGAGTTAAACTGACATAAAATCATAAGTTCAAATCTTAGGTCAAGTCGCATGTTGGCCACAAGCTAAAGTGAACTACGAAACAGATCTGGGGAGGTGACTATTCCTGAGCTAAGTCAAGAGTGAAGACAGGTACACTCTATGTCTTATTTCCCCCCAGAATTAAGAACACAAGTATACTGGCCTTGTGGGATGGTTAGAGACTGAAGTAGGGAATGCACGTTAGGTCTGTAACACAGTGTTAGTGTTGGGTTGAGATTTTCACTACTTTTTGGATACAGTAGCTCATCCAGGACTCAGTGATGGAAATCATGGCTGATAAGGTTAATATTAATATTGTTAATGGTACAAATATCATAACTAATACCATGAAATAATCTGAAAACTGGAAATCTCCTTAAATTTCTTCTACCATTATATATCTCCATTTAAGTCCACTTTCCTCATGAAAACTTTTCAATTTATTCTGCTATTCCTCACAAGGTTGCATTCCATAAGTAGTGCTGACTGGGGCAGAGGAGCAGAGGGAGAGTCCCGCCTGCCTGAGGAGAGTAGCTTGGAGTGCAGAACGAGTGCCGAGCAGGAGAGCAGCAGTAGGCACAGTGAGCCCTCTTCCCAGTCCCCAGTGAAATCTAAGGCATTTAATTTATTAACTGTCAGGCAGAGAAATATTTTTACAAGAAATCACAGCAATAAATGCTGCAGATGCCCTAAATATCAAGTATTTATTTGAAATATAAACAAAATATTTATTTTCAAAATGCCATATTTATCCCCCAAAATCATGCCTAAAATGTCCAAAATTCCGTGCATGGTGATTGAAAAATGAAGTTAAAGCACATGAGGCAGTTGTGTTGAATCTTTCATAAAACCGCAGCCCTGCAACCAAGCCTAGGGATCCTCTTGTCCTGCATCTCCTTTGCATAACAAACTAATCACCACCCCCTCCCATAAATTCATAGCTTTGCTCAGTGACTGCTTTGTCTGAATATTTCAGTTTTAATTTTCCAGTTGAATTGTTTCAATCATGCTTGATACAATTGTCTCAAAGTTAAAAAGCCCACTAACTTCTAGACTAATGAAGAGTCAGGAGCTCCATGACTGAGGTTTGGTCATCCTCAGGGTTGCTGTACTGCAGGTTAGAGAAATAATGCTGAGGAAAAAACTAACAGTGACTGAGGCACGTGGAAATGCAAAGTGAAATACAACGCACTGTTCCTAGGGCAAAAAAAAAAAAAAAAAAAAAAAAAAAAACAACAACAAAAACAAAACCATACACACAAAACAAGAGACCAAAAAAAAAAAACAAAACCTGGGACTTCAGGAAACCTAAAGTCAGAATTACAAAGAGCTAGCAACAAGAGTCAGGTATCTTTGTTCCTTACTTATCCCCTTTATAAAGCACTGAAGAAACGGGTTATCAAGACACCTTTCCACAAAGAGACGAACATTGCACATAGAGCACAAACCATTTGCTCCACCTCTTCTGCTCCATCAGAGAATAAATCTAAGCCACGCCAGCTCAGTGAAGCTGCTTTCACCATTCTAAGGCCAAAGCAAAGGGGTTTAAATTCAGAATGAAAATGAGAAAATTACATCATCAGTTTCTTCACATTAGGGAATTGAGATGAGTGTTTATTGCTTAATTCTTTGCACCGTTTTCCCTTTTTTTTTTCTGCTTATTCATCTTCCCTGTACTTGGCATTGTCTCTTCCCTGGAGCTTCTACTTTCTTTAAGACCATCTCAGAATCCATTATTTTGGTATTTTTGTTTTGTTTTGCTATTTGTTTTTGATAGTTATATTCTAACTTTCCAGTTACAGTCCACGTGGTAATTAAACATGTTTTTCATTTATGCGATGCGTCTATCCAAAAGCAAATCCATCTTTTTCATGACATTGCACATTTTTAAACAACTTCATTTTTCTAGTTTAAAATTATATTTTCGTATCGGACATTTAAAGTAAGCTCTTTGTAAAAGCAAATCTGAATTTCACAAAGGGAGGATCATGGAAAACCAGTGTCAGAAATCTGTAAACTAAATATAAAATCCTAAGACCCCTAATCAACTGAACAGACCCCCTTCTAGGACAAGAGAATCTCAGGAAAGCTGAAAAGCTTAATTGCAGGACATAACAAGAAGGGAGACACACTTCATTATACCCCTGTCTGTTGGAATTTAGGCACAACTGACCAGCAATAACATTGAAATAGAGTTCCTAAGACTGACAAAACAGACTCTGAGTGGCAATAAGATACCAAATTCCAACCTGACTCTAGTATAGCATCACATGACAGATAGCAGACCCTGAGGAAAATCAAAATATTCCACCCCAAAGTATGTCTTTGACATATTTTGAAATGGCCCTACAAAGCCATCTTTCGTGGGGAAAAGTTGCATCTATAGAGACTTTCCATTAACACAGCAGGGGCTTTCCCAGATTCAGGAGAAAATATCGGAGTCTGACAACATTTAAGGTTCTAAAAGAAACATTTACCATTTATTATATTTGCTTCCAATTAATTGTGTAATCTTAGTCAAGACCCTAAAAGCTCTGAGTGTCACTTCCTCAATCAAATAAAAGGAGGAGTGTTATGTACTTGCTATGCTTCTGTGACTCTTAAGACATCTATGAATCTGATGACCGAATGTGGTCTAAGATTTCTCCATGACAGGGTGACCTTCTCCCACATCGCCCCTCTCCTTAAAGGCTCAGAGACTTCCCTTGAAATATTAGTCTCATCGAATTTAGATTATATAATTTGGGAATGAAAAAGAATGGAAAAAGGGAGCCACTTTTCTCAGTGCCTGCAAGGTTCCGAGACTTTGCTGAGTCTTTCTAGCATGACAAACGTACAAATACTGAGTAGTGTATTCATCCCTGTGTACAGTCATCCCTCACTATCTGTCCTCAGTACCAGGACATCGTGAAAATACCAAAATCCATGATGCTAAAGACCCTAATATGAAATGGCAGAGTATTTCTATATAACCTACACCAATCTTCTCGTATGCTTGAAATCATGTCTAGATTACTTATAACAACTAATGCAATATGAATGCTATGTAAATAGCCGTTATACTATTTTTTTTTTACGAAATAATGACAAGGAAAAAAAGTCTGGAGGATGGAACAAGATGACAGAATAGAAGTTTCCACTGATCATCCCCCTGCAAGAACACCAATTTAAAAACTACCTACACAAAAAACACCTTTACAAGAACCAAAAATCGGGTGAGCACTCACAGTACATGGAGTTAAATTCATATTTCTGAATGAGGCATTGAAGAAGTTAGAAAAACAGTATTGCATCACTGACACTACCACTCCTTCATCCCCCAGCAGTGGAGGTGTGGTATGGAGAGCTTCTCTGTGCACTGGGGAGAGGGAGAGCCAGCAATTCTAAGACACTGAACTCAGCAATGCCCTTGTTATAGCAGAAAGAAGACCCAGACCAAATTCAGCTGACACCCACCATGAAGGGTGCATTTAAATCAGCCATTGCTGGAAGGGAATTGCGAATCCCAGTGTTTGGAACTTGAGTTACCCAAGCCTCACCATGAAGGGCTAAAGTGGCTCTGGAGCCACAGACAAACCTGAAGGGCAGTCTAGGCCACAAGAGCTGCAAATCCTAATGCTAATCTGGGCCCAGAGCCAGTGGACTCAGGGGACACATGACCTGTTAAAACACCAGCCAGGGCAGCTAAACTCATCCCCTAACCTCAGCCTCCACGGCTTGTGGCTCCAAAAGAGGCCTCTTTCCTCTGCTTTAGGAGAGGAGAGGGAAGAGTGAGGAGGACTTTGTCTTGCATCTTGGATACCAGCTCAGCCACATCAGGGTTGGATACCAGCCAGAGTCATGAGGGCCTTGGGTGAGACTCTGAGACATGCTGGCTTCAGGTGAGACTCAGCATATTACCAGCTATGGTGGCTATGGGGCAAGACTCCTTCTGCTTGAGGAAAGTGGACAGAAAATTAAAGGAGATTTTGTCTTGCACTTTAGTGCAACTATTGTTACCATTGTTATTCAACATATTACTGGAAGTTCTAGCTAGAGCAATCAGACAAGAGAAACAAACATATATATATATATATATATATATATATATATATATATATATACACACACACACACACACACACACACACACACACACACACACACATGCATACGGCATCAAACGTCAAAGAAAAGTAAAATTATCTTTGTTCACAGATGATAGGACCTTATGCTTGGAAAAACCTAAAGTCTCCCCAAAAACCTATTAGAACTAATAAACAAATTCAGGAAAGTTGCAGGATACAAAATCAACATACAAAAGGCAGATTTCTATAAGTCAATAGCAAATAGATTAAAACAAATTTAAAAAGTAATGGCATTTATGATAGCCACAAATAAAATTAAAGAGGAATTAACCAAAGAAGTGAAAGAGTTCTATAATGATAACTATAAAACAGTAATAATTGAAGAGGACACTAAAAAATGAAAAGATATTCCAGGTTCATGAACCAAAAGAATCAATATTGTTAAAATATCCATAGTACTCAAAGCAATCTATAGATTCAATGTTATCCTTATCAAAATACCAATGACATTTCTTACAGATATAGAAGACACTATCCTATCATTTGTATGAAGGCACAAAACACCCAGAGGAGCCAAAATTATTCTAAGCAAAACCGCCAACCAACCAACCCACCAAAACTGGAGGAATCCCATTGCCTGACTTCAAATTATACTACAGAGCTACCATAACCAAAACAGCATGGTGCTGGCATAAATGCAGATACATAGACCAATGAAACAGAATAGAGAACTCAGAAACAAATCCACACACCTACAGTGAACTCATTTTCTACAAAGGTGCAAGGAACATACACCAGGGAAAAGATCATCTCTTCAATAAGCAGCACTGGGAAAAGTGGATATCTATATGAAGAAAAATGAAACTAGTCCCGTCTCTCGCCATATACAAAGATATAGTCAAAATGGACTAAAGACTTTAAGACCTCAAACTATGAAACTACCAGAAGAAAACATTGGAGAAAATCTCCAGGATATTTGTCTGGGCAAATATTTCTTGAGTAATACTCCATAACACAGACAACCAAAGCAAACATGGACAAATGAGAGCACATTTTGTTAAAAAGCTTCTGCACAGTGAAGGAAATAAATCAACAAAGAGACATCCCACAAAATGGAAGAAAATGTTTTCAAACTACCCACCTGACAAGGAATTAATAACCGCAATACATAGGGAGCTCAAACAAATCTATAGGAAAAAATATAATAATCTGATTTATATACTGATAAAAGATTGAATACACATTTCTCAAAAGACAACATACAAATCAAAAACAGGCACATAAAAAGTGCTCAACATTGATCAGAGAAATGCAGATCAAAGCTACAATGAGATACCATCTCATCCCAATTAAAATGGCTCTTATACAAAAGACATGCAAAAATAAATGCTGGTGAGGACATGGAGAAAAGGGAACCCTCATAAACTCTGTGGGAATGTGAAGTTGCATTTAAAGTTGTATTTAAAGGTGCAACAGAGAACAGTTTGGAGGTTCCTCAAAAAACTAAGAATAGAGCTAACGTATTATCCAGCAATCCCACTGCTGGGTATATAGCCAAAAGAAAAGAAATCAATATACTGAAGAGACATCTACACTTCCATGTTTGTTGCAGCTCTGTTCACAATAGCTACAATTTGGAAGCAACCTATGTGTTCGTCAACAGATGAATGGGTAAAGAAAATGTGGTACTTATACATGATAGTGTACTATATAGCCACAAAACAATGAAATCCTGTCATTTGCAACAACATAGATGGAATTGGAGGTCATTATGCTAAGTCAAATAAGCCAGGCACAGAAAGACAAACATTGCATGTTCTCAGTTATTTGTGGCACCTTAAAATCAAAACAATTGGACTTATGGAGATATAAATTAGAAATATGCTTAGCAGATACTGGGAAGGGTACTGGGGGGGGGTGAAGGGGTAGGTGGGGATGGTTAATGGATACAACAAAGTTGTTAGAATGAATAAGTACTAGCATAATAGACTGACATTGTCAATAACAATCGTACATTTAAAAATAACTAAAAGGATATAGTAATATTGTAACACAAAAGATAAATGCTTGAGAGGATACTCCATTTTTCATCATGCATTTATTATACATTGCATTCCTGTATCAAAACATCTCATGTACCCCGTAAATGTATACACCTATGTCACAACAAAAATAAAATTTAGAAAAGTCTGTACCAATGTGACCATGATAAGCCTAATTATATTTTCAATCCATGATTGGTTAAGTCCATGATTGGTTGAATCTTCAGATGCAGAATCCAACTCATAAGCCCAACTGCAGAAGCAGATACTGACACCAGGAGACAGAATGAGCATATTCTGTCCTTGGCTGGTACCCACCCTATCTTCCAACATTGCTTCTTCCAATATCTCAGAGTATCCTTAAACCACACACTTTCATATTCCTTCATAACTTCTTGTATCCTGCTTCCTTGCTGTGAATTTACCAAATGCATTTCTGTATAAACTCTACCAGTCATAAACACTTAGATAATATGACAATTTCTTTATGAAGGCGTGCTCTACTCAATCAGTGAGAACTCTCACACCTCAGACATAACAATCCTTCTTTTATACCCTTCACACAAGCCTCAACTCACTCTTGTATTTTAATTATTTCTAAGTTTCAATGAAAATTCCACATGAATATGTATAATTAGAAATTACTTTAATGAGCTGTATAGGTATGAAAGTTAAAAAACTAAATAAGTGTTTAAAAATCGCAGGTGGAGGGTTGATAATACGTAAAATTGCAAAATTCTAGATACATTTTAGGTACTGCTATGAAATCCTTAATGAGCTGTACACTTATTTTTTTTATGGATATACTTCAATAGTTGTACAAGCTTCATGTATAGCCACAAATATAAACATATTCAAGAACATAAAATGACAAAATGGTCAACAAATTTATCATCTTAGGTCCTTGAGGGACTTTTGATGAGTGGACCCTGAGTACCATCTGACAGATTTACAATGTGAACATCACATAAACAATGTTTTTGTGCAGCTTGAGATGTTACTATGGCATTACCTTGTGCATTCTGACTGATCCATAATTATATTTAAAATTTGCAACAGTGCTCCCTATTTTATGTTCATAACATATATCATCATCTGGCATGACCACATCATATGTTTTACCTATTCACTGTTTGGGTTTTTGTTATTGCACAAGGAGACCAAAATATATTCATTTTCTTCTCTGTTGCTTTCTAACATTAGCACTATGCCTGGCATATATCACTTTCGCACCAACATAATAGTAAAAATTGATTATTTGTTAAATAAATGAAGAAGGGAAAATGATGGTTAGAGAGATTAGTGCAACTCCTTTAGAGATGAATTTAGTAATATCTCATAACATTGAAGATGTTCTTTCTTCACTACCTAAGACTTCCAAGGAGATTATACGAGGATAGACACTCTGTTACACTATAAAGCATGAAAAAAGTGGTAAACCTAAATATTCATATAAAGAAAATGCACACATGACCAATATTAATACCAATTTATTGTGAACATTTCAATAAGTAAAGTTGAAGGAAAATATATGTGGCAGAATGATCAGTGTGTTACCATTTAACAAATACATCCTGCTAAAATATTACATTTGGACACATATCTGCAATAAAAACATTAAAAATTGATAGGGAAGATACACACCTACTGTTTAAAAAAATTGGTCTGAGGACACTAAGAGAGGGAATTCAGGAGAGCACAGATAAGACTTTGATGTACCTGTAAAATATATACCCCCATTTTTGAGTCAGGGTCTTGCTCTGTCACCCAGGCTGGAGTGCAGTGTCACAGTTGTGGCTCACTGCAGCTTCAATCTCCCAGGCTCAAGTGATCCTCTCACCTCAGCCTCCTGAGTAGCTAGGACTATAGACACGTGCCACTATGCCTCCCTAATTTTTTTAAATTTAATTTTTGGAGAGATGAGGTCTCACTATGTTACCCAGGCTGGTCTCAAATACTTAGGCTCAAGCAATCTTCCCACCTCAGCCTTCCAAAGTGTTGGGATTATAGGGCATAAGCCACTGCCCCTGGATGATGTACCTATGATATATATATATTTTTTTATTTCAATAGGTTTTTGGGGAACAGTTGGTGTTTGGTTACATTAAGTTCTTTAGTGGCAATTTGAGAATTTGGTGCACTCATCACCCAAGTAGTGTACACTGTACCCGATGTGTAGTCTTTTATCCCTCACCTGCTCCCACCCTTTCCCCCAAGTCCCCAAAGTCTATTGTATCATTATTATCCCTTTGTATCCTCATAGCTTAGCTCCCAGGTGTGAGTGAGAACAATGTTTGGTTTTTCATTCCTGAGTTGCTTCACTTGGAATAATGGTCTCTAATTACATCTAGTTTGCTGCAAATGCCATTATTTCATTCCTTTTCATGGCTAAGTAATATTCATATATATATATATATATGCATATATAGGAATATATGTATATATGTGTATATATGTATATATAAATATATGTATATGAATATATGTATGTGAATATATGAATATATATGAATATATGAATATATACGAATATGAGAATATATGAATATATATGATTTTCTTTATCCACTCATTGATTGATGATCATTTGGGCTGCTTCCATATTTTTGCAATTGTGAAGTGTGGTGCTGTAAACATGTGTAAGTATCTTTTGAATACAATGACTTATTTTCCTCTGGGTACACACCAAGTAGTGGGATTGCTGGATCAAATGGTAGATATACTTTTAGATCTTTAAGGAATCTCCAGACTTTTCCATAGTGGTTGTACAAGTTTACATTTGCACCAGCAGTGTAAAAGAGTTCCCTTTTCAGCACATCCACACCAATGTCTATTTTTAAAAAATTTTTTGATTATGGCCATTCTTGCAGGAGTGAGATGGTATTGCATTGCGGTTTTGAATTTCATTTCCCTGATAATTAGTGATGTTGAGCATTTTTTTCATGTTTGTTGGCCATTTGTATATTTTCTCTTGAGAATTGTCTATTTGTGTCCTTAGCCCACTTTTTAATGGCTTTGTTTTGTTCTTGCTGATTTGAGTTTCTTGTAGATTCTAGATATTAGTCCTTTGTTGGATGTAGAGACTGAAGATTTTCTCCCACTCCATGGGTTGTCTGTTTACTCTGATGATTATGTCTTTTGCTGTGCACAAGCTTTTTAGTTTAATTAAGTCCCATTTATTTTTGTTTTTATTGCATTTGCTTTTGGGTTCTTGGTCATGAAGTCTTTGCCTAAGCCAATGTCTACAAGTTAACATTTTCTGACGTTATTTTCCAGATTTTTAATAATTTCAGGTCTTAGGTTTAAGTCTTTGATCTATCCTGAGTTGTTTTTTCTATAAGGTTAGAGATGAGGTTCCAGTTTCATTCTTTACATGTGGCTTGCCAATTTTCTCAGCACCATTTGTTGAATAGGGTGTCCTTTCCCCACTTTTATGTTTTTGTTTGCTTTGTTGAAGATCAGTTGGCTGTAGTATTTGGTTTTATTTCTGGGTTCTCTATACTGTTCCATTGGTCTATATACTGATTTTTATGCCAGTACCAAGCTATTTTGGTGACTATGGCCTTATAGTATAGTTTGAAGTCGAGTAATGTGATGCCTCTGGTTTCGTTCTCTTTTCCTAGTCTTGCTTTGGCTATGTGGGCTTTTTGGTTCCATATGAATTTTAGGATTGTTTAGGATTGTTTTTCTGTGAAGAATGATGGTGGTGTTTTGATGGGAAGTGCATTGAATTTGTCCATTGCTTTGGCAATATGGTCATTTTCAATTATTGATTCTACTCACCCATAAGCATGGGATGTGTTTCAATTTATTTGTGTCATCTATGATCTCTTTCAGCAGTGATTTGTAGTTTTCCTCATAGAGGTCTTTTACCTCCTTGGTTAGGTATTCCTAAGTATTTTATTTTGCAGCTATTGTAAATTGGGTTGAGCTCTTGATTTGCATCTCAGCTTGGTGGCTATTGCTGTATTAACAGAGCTACTGAGTCGTGTACATTAATTTTGTATTCTGAAACTTTGCTGACTTCATTTACCAGTTCCAGGAGCTTTTTGGATGAGTCTTTAGGGTTTTCTTGGTATACGATCATATTATCAGCAAACCGACAGCATAACTTCCTCTTTACTGATTTAGATGCCCTTTACTTCTTTCTCTTGTCTGATTGCTCTGGCTAGGACTTCCAGAACTATATTGAATATAAGTGGCCAAAATGGGCATCCTTGCCTTGTTCCAGTTCTCAGAGGGAATGCCTTCAACTTTTCCCCATTCAGAATAATGTTTGCTGTGGATTTGTCATAGGTGACTTTTATTACCTTACAGTGTGTCCCTTGTATGCTGATTTTGCTGAGGGTTTTAATCATAAAGGGATGGATTTTGTCAAATGCTTTTTCTGCAACTATTGAGATACACAGAATTAAAAACAAAAGTCACATGGTTATGCGATGTATCACGAGTTGACTCATATATGTTAAATCAACCCTGCATCCCTGTTACGAAACCCACTTGATCATGATGATTTATCTTTTTGATATGTTGTTGGATTCTGTTAGACAGTATTTTGTTGAGAATTTTTGCATGTATGTTCATCAGGGATATTGGTCTATAGTTTTGTTATGTCCTTTCCTGGGTTTGGTATTAGGGTGATACTGGCTTCATAGAATGATGTAGGAAGTTTTCCCTCTATCTTGTGGAATAGTGTCAGTAGGATTGATGCCAATTAATTCAGCTGTGAATCCATCTGGTCCCAGACTTTTTTTGCTGGCATTTTTTAATTACCATTCCAATCTTGCTGCTTGTTACTGGTCTCTTCAGAGTTTCTATTTCTTCTTTGTTTAATCTAGGAGCATTGTATATTTCCAGAAATTAATTCATCTCCTGTAGGTTTTCTACTTTACACGCATAAAGCTGTTCATAGTAGCCACGAATAAGCTTTTGTATTTCTGTGATATTGGTTGTCATATCACCTGTTTCATTTCTAATTGAGCTTATTTGGCTATTCTCTTGATTAATCTTGCTAACAGTATCAATTTTACTTATTTTTTCAAAGAACCTACGTTGTTTCATATAGCTTTTGTATTTTTTATTTCAATTTCATTTAGTTCTGCTCTGATGTTTGTTATTTCTTTTCTTCTGCTGGGTTTGGGTTTGGTTTGTTCTTGTTTCTCTAGTTCCTTGAGGTGTGACCTTAGATTGCCTATTTGTGCTCTTTCAGACTTTTTGATGTGGGCATTAATAGTATGAACCCCATGTGATTCAGGAATTCCATTACTAAGGATGTATCCAATTTAATTGGGCATGTCAAAGAGATATCTGCACTCCCATGTTCATTGCAACATTATTCACAATAGTCAAGATATGGAATCAACCTAAGTATCCATCAATGGATGAATAGATATAGAAAACAAGACATATATCCACAGTGAAATGTAATTCAGCCTTTAAATAGAAGAAAATCTTGTTCATGTGTCAATGTTCTATATTGTGTTGTATATATCAAAACATTATAATTGTATATATAATACATATGTGTATATAATGTATATTATATATAATACATAATTACAATTATATGTGTAATATATATGTGTTGTATATATCAAAATTGCTAAGTGGGTACATTTTAAATGTCTCACCATGAAAATTGGTGATAATATGTTCATTAGGTTAATTTCATCATTACAAATAATATTCGTATATTAAAATATCACATTCTACCCCATAAAAATCTATATTTTAATATTTCAATTAAAAATATTTTTAAAAATAATGCAATAAGAACATGAAAGTAGAAAAATGATTATAGACCTTTGGTGTGGAACTGAAATCAGAAACACAAATATTAACCTATGATTTCTACATACATTTATAAATAATTGATGGTGTCTACTTCATTCTTTACTCGTTTTCTTTCCACATTTTGTAGATATAATTTGAGATTTTTTTATTCTATCTTCTTGAAATAGGAGATTAGTCAATATTTAACCTTTCTTCTTAATGATCTACAGGGATAAATTTTTCTGTAACCACTGCGTTAGCTGCATCCTACACGTTTTATGTCATGTTTATATTATTGTTCTGTCAAAGGCCCACCTGTGTTTGATTTTGGTGAGAATCCCACGTGAACTAGAAAAGAACTTGACTTTTCTTATTGTTGTGAGCATTGTTCCATATGTACAAAGTTTTGTTACCATTAAGTATGTTGTATAAATCTTCTATAACTTTAGTAATTTGGAGGTTTCTGTGCTCTATCACATATTGGCATGTTAACATATATACTATTAAATTGAGCAATGACTGGGCAAAAGGAAAAATCAAAAGAGAATTAAAATCTCAAGACAGACAAAAAATACACTATACTAAAACTTATGAGATGCACCAAACCCAGTACTAAGAGAAAAGTTGATTGCAATGAATAGCTACATGAAAAAAAGAATTCAAATTAACCAACTAACTTTATATATCAAGAAACTAGAAATAGAGAGCCTAAGTCCAAAGTTATAATACAGAAGAAAACATTAAAGTAGAAATGAGACTAGAAAAACTAAAGAAAAATCAGCAAATCTAAATTGTTTTTTAAAAATTTAAAGGTGATAAACCTTAGCTAGACTAAGAAAAAGAGTATCCTCAACTAAAATGAGAAATAGGAGGAGTCATTAGAACAAATGCCTCAAAATGAAAAGGATCATAAAAGACTATTATGAAAACTATGCACTTATAAATTAGATAATCTATAAGAAATCAAACTTGATTTATGCAACCTACCAAAACTAAATCAAGAGGAAATAGGAAGCCTGAACAGAGGAAGAAGATCAAATTAGTAAACAAAAACTTCCCAAAGAAAAGACCGAACCAAATGGCTTCGTGGATGAATTCTAAACATTCAAAGAACTAATAGCAATCCTTCTTAAACTCTTTCAAAAACCAGGAGAATGCCCCAAACTCATTTTATGAGGCCATCAAACACTTATATCAAAGCCAGACAAAGATAATCAAAAGAAAATAAAACTACAGGTCAATATCACTGATAAACATAGGTGTAAAAATCTTCAACAAAATACTAACAAACCAAATTCAACAGCCCATTAAAAAGAGAATAAACCATAGCCAACTGAAATGTATCTCTGGGATGCAAGAATGCTTCAACATAGGCAAATCACTCAGTGTGATATAACACATTAAGAGAATAAAAAAAAATTGCAGCAAAAGCATTTGACAGTTCATGTCAAAACTCTGAAAAACAGGTATAGAAGGAACTTATTTCAACACAACATATCATATATGAAAAGCCCACAGTTAACATAATAAAAAATGAAAATGTTTCTCCTATGGTCTGGTACAAAGCAAGGATGTTCATTGTCACCACTTTTATTTAACATGGTACTGAAAGTCCTATCCAAAGCAATTAGACAAAAAAGCATCAAAATTAGAAAAATATTAAAATAATCTCTGTGCAGGTGACATGGCCATATATATAAAAACCCTAAGACTACACCAAAAAACTATTCGAATAAACAAATTCAGTAAAGTTGCAGAACATAAAATAGCACACAAAAATCAGTGACATTTCTGCACACAAACGATGAGCTATTTGAAGGAAAATAAGAAAGCAATCCCATTTAAAATAGCAAAAAATAATATATTTAGGAATACTTATCCAATAGGGCAGAAGACTCCTACACTAAAAATCATAATACCTTAGTCAAAGATATTGAAGGAGACACAAATAAATGGAAAGACACTGTATTCATTCATTTGAATAATTAACAAATCTTCAAATTTGTAGATTTGAATAATTAACATTGTTTAAAATGTCCTTATTAAGCAAAACAATCTATAAATTGCAATTTCTATAAAATATCACCGGTATTTCTTTACAGAAATAAAAAAACAATAAGTAACTACATCTAGAACCATAAAAGATCTCAAATAGCCAAATCAACCTTGAACAAAACTAGAGGCATCACATTGATTTCAAAATATATTACAAAGGTATGGGAATTATCACTGTAAAGAACTGTCATAAAAAAGAAAAATGGACATATAGACTAATGAAACACAATACGGAGAACAGAAAGCAACCCGAGCATATTTGGCCAACTGATCAACAAAGTGAGAAGGCAACCTACAGAATGGGAGAAAATATCTGCAAACCATATATCTGTAAAGAGGGTAATATCCAGAACTTATAAGGAGCTCAAACAACTCAATAGCAAAAACCAATTACCTTGATTAAAAATAAGCAAAGGGCCTGGGTAGGCATTTCTCAAAAGACGACATAAAAATGGCCACCAGGTAAATAAAAAGAGCTGAACATCACTAAGCATCAGGCAAATGCAAACTAAAACCACAACGAGGTATCACCTCCCACCGGTTAGAATAGCCATCATTACAGATCAAACAAAAGAGAGGGAAAGTGGAGAAAAAGAAACCTTTGAATATTGTTGGTGAGAATGAAAATTGGCACAGCAATTATAAGCAAACAGTACAGAGTTTCTTCAAAAAGTTAAAAATAGTACTATCATATGGTCTAGCAGTCATGCTTCTAGGTAATGGTTCACCCAAAGAAGTGAAAGCGGGATTTCAAAGAGGTATCAGCACACCAGTGTTTATTGCAGCATTATTCACAATAGCAAAAATAGAAAAATAACTGTAAATGAATGAAAATGTAATGAAAATATAAATACACATACTTGCACAATGAAATATTCTTTATTTTTTAGCCCAAAGTAAATCCTGCCATTTGGCACAACATGAATGAACCTGAACTATATTATGCTAAGTGAAAAATACACAGAAAGACAAATACCATATATTCTCACTTATCTAAAATAGTAGACTAGCTCATAGAAACAGTAGCATGTTGGTCCCCCGTGAGGAGTTTAGGGAAACGAATAAAGACTGGTCAAATGCTACAAAGTTCAGTCATGCAAAAGTGAATAATTTCTAGAGGGCTAATATACAGCATGGTGACTATAGTTAGCAATATTGTCTTGTATACTTGACATCTGTTAAGAGAATAAATCTTGTATACTTGACATTTGTTAAGAGGATATCTTAAGTGTTCTAACCACACCAAAAAAAAAATAACTGTGAGGTGATGGAAATGTTAACGAGCTTGATGGTGGTCATGATTTCATAATGTATGAAATATATGTACATAATGTATGAAATAATGTCGGAAGACACCGACACGCCGCGCCGCCGGAGCCCCAGTGCATGCTGGTTGCGCTGAAGGCGACCCCGCCCCAGAATGCACGGAGCCTCCGCCCAGGCCCCGGAAGGACAATGTGCCCGACAACTGGCGATGGCTGTAGGAAGCCATGGTGAGGCGGGGGATGGATGGAACCACCCTGGGCCCAGCAGCTGTGATTGGCAGGAGGAGCCACATCTTTCATTCTTACAGCCTCAGTCTCTCTGCATCCTTATACTTAAGGTGTCTGTAATCATAATATTGTATAATCTGATAATCTCAGTATTTTACTTGGAACATTTAGTATATTACATATTTTATTGATACATAATATTTCTACATACTTATGGGGCACATGTGATATTTTGATACATGCATGCAATGTGTAATAATTACTGATATAATTGGGGTTCTATGTGAGCTATAACTTCTAACCATATTCTATTTGGCCCATCTGTTTCACGTCTCTTTTTCATTCTTTCGTTGCTTCTTTTAGAAATATAAAAATCTATCATTTTTTCATTTTATAAACTTGTTTTGGCGTTTACTATAAACATTACAGCATGTACTCTTGATTTACTAAAGTTTAACACAAATTACTACCTCTACTACATCAATATTGATATATCTTCAACATGATTTTTCATACATTTAAGTTTTGCACAAATCTAAACTGTATATTACATTAAAATTATTGCTAAGTCAATATTGATTATGACTCATTTACATATTACTCTTTGGGGTTGATGTTTGTCATTTTTGCTTATATTTCTGAGTTTACTTTTGAGATAATTTTTCTATGGCTGAAGAATTTTATCCACTTTTGTTTGTTGGAAAAATTTATTTTACTATCATTTTTTATAATTGGAGTTAGACTCAATCTACATCTAGTTCATCCCTATTACTGAGACATGGTCCTACTGGACTCTTGATTGACAGGCTGGTAGATGTCCCTATGCTCTGTCTTGAAAGCATTTCTCCCAATATCAATGTGGCTCATTAACTTGTAAACTCCACATCTTTGCTCAACTATAACCAGTGAGGATTAGCCTAAATCCCTACATAAAACGTGACCCCTACACACTCCAAGACCCCTCTCCTGCTCAAGATTTTCCAACACTTTTCTTCTGATAATACTCCATGTCTTCTTCTCAATTACCAAATTTATTTTCTGTATACACCCTTTAAGTGCTAAAAAAGATGAAGATTTTTATTTGTTTTGCTCACTGATGTATCCTCAGTTTGTAGAACGGGGCCTGGCAAACTATAGGGGCTCAGTAGTTATTTGTTGAATGAATGAATGACTTGGGGCCTAAAGGAAGATTATGTAGTCATGGAAAGTTATCTTCGTATCCTTGTACTTACAGATAAAAAAACATTCCGAAGAGAGGGAAAGCCACGTGAAAACATTGGGTATGGAAAGAACTATAGTGTTTCCAAGGTTGGAGTATGGCCCTCCCAGAGGGAGAGGCAATGCAGTGTGGAAAAGGCCACAGACTCCACAAGACGTGGCACATGCAGTGGTCAGGGGCAGGGACTCCGGCCTGCCTGCCTGGGCTTAAATCCCTGTTGAGCACTTTATAAGCTGCACACCCTTTTGTTCATGTTACTCAAACCCATGGGTTTCAGTTAAATCAACTGTAGAATAAGGCTAATAATAGGCTGTGAAAATAAAAGTGTTCCATACATGTCACGCACTAAAAATGGTGCCAGATCATAATAATCACACAAGACGTTATAATTATTATGTTATTTGTTAAATACAAATACAACCATGCACATACGTAAAACTGTGATTTGAAATTATATTCTAAGTATGTGTCACCATTGGCTTGAACAGGGAGAAGTGTGCGAAACTTCCATATTTCTCTGGTTAAGTCTATGAATAAACCAATTATACTCCAAACATGTTGTAGCCCATGTCTACTGGATAGCCCATGTCTCTGCTCTAATTTTGGGAGGTTTGACTTCTTATATGCTCACAGAAAATAAGAATTTGATTGAGAACACATTCTAGAAATTCTGATGGAAGAAAAATCTCAACTGTACATTTAGCATCTCTGAGGTCTTGAATGTGTTTATCTCCAAATGCCTATGGATGAATGAACCCCCTTGTCCCTGAGGATCCCCTGCTTGGGGCAAGTCAGGGGAAGCCTCAAAGGCTGTTTTGTCATTTGTGAAATGTGGGTGACCTTAGCCTCAGCCACAGAGGGTGAAGGTCGAATGAGGTGGTGAACGAAAAGCGTTTAGCACAGAGTGGATGCTGAGGAACACTCTGAATATGGTGTTATTTCATACTCATCAATGGGCCCATGATAGCAAAACAAATTTTCTCTGTGGTGGAAGGTGCTCAAGGGTCATAAACACATTTATTTTCATATTTCTCCACTGTAATCTAAAAAAAGGACCATTGGCCCCGAAGGACTGGACTAGAGATCAATGCTACGAGGGAAGGGGGGGATAAGTGAACATCATCTCAAGTGTGATTATAGGAGGGAAGAACACTGGGCTGAATCCCCCTGAAGGACAACTCAGGGAGTCAGACACTACCACAATATGCTGATTGTTTGGTGGAAGGACACCTAAAGTGAAGAGAGACTCTAAGAAGAGAGGACCAACTTAAGTTCTTTCACACTTTAATATGGAGGTTTCTGCACGCTCAGCATTTTTTTCAAAGCCCTTGTGACATCCTTATTCCTGAAACTGTAAATGATAGGATTCAAGACAGGTGTAAGGATAGTGTAGAAAAAGGATGACATCATATCTTTCTCAGGAGTTTGGTAGGAGCTGGGGAGCATGTAGTTGTAAATAGCAGCTCCATAGAAGAGGCTGACCACTGTAATGTGGGAGGAGCAGGTGGTGAAGGCCTTTTTCCGACCCTCAACTGAGTTCATCTTATGGATGGTGAGGATGATATAGTAGTAAGACACTGAAATGACCGTCACAGGTATCAGGAGCATGATGACACAGCACAAGTACATGAAAATCTTGTAAAGTGAGGTGTCTGAGCAAGAGAGCTTCAAAACAGCAGGGACCTCACAGAAGAAGTGCTGAATCTCATGGGATCTGCAGAAGGGGAAGCTCATGGCGATGGGAGTGAGCATGAAGCCATCCACTGAGCCCACAAACCAGCAGCCTGATGCCAGGAGGAGACATACCCTATGGCTCATGAGCACAGAGTAACGGAGAGGATGGCAGATAGCCACATAGCGGTCATAGGCCATGGCGGCTAGAAGGCAGCACTCTGCACCTCCCAACTGCAGGTAGAAGTACATCTGGGTGCCACACCCAAGGACCGAGATGGTCTTGTCTTTGGCCAGCTGGTTCACCAGCATTTTGGGGACAGTGACAGAAATATATGTCAAGTCTATGAGTGAGAGCTGGTTTATAAAGAAGTACATGGGAGTATGCAGAGAGGAGTCAATGTGGATCAGAAGTATCAATGTAATATTCCAAGACACAGCCATCAAAAATATACTGAAGATAAGCAAGCAGAGGCGGCCAGGGTGTGAGATCTGGCTGAAGATTCCCAACAGGAAAAAGTCACCACCCAGGGTCTGGTTGGCCAGCCGCATGCTGTATGATCGGCTGAAGTGGCTTTACCTGGAGGACAAAAGTAAACTTTATTTATAATCATGTGTGTACCACGTAAAAGTATGTTTGCTTCACTTTACCTTTTAAAAATCAATGTGAAAATCAGAGTGTATTTCCAACATGAACTGTGAATTTGCACTAAAAAGAGACAGCACATTAGATTGTGAATCTGATTCCCCATCTAGAATGGGAATGAAATATTTATATTCTCAATGAAGAGGTCCATACAACTGAAATTAAATTATTTCCTATAGATTATATAGTCACTAATAGTTATTTTTACTTATATATGTTCACATTTTGTGTGTGTTAGTATCTTATAGTTGCATGTTCCTGTATTGCCCAAATCCCATTCCCATGGGATTTTACAGAGCTAATAACCAATATAGATATTTCTATATATTTGACCCTCAAGAGTCATGTCTGCAAAAAAGGATTAGTAATACTTGTGTTTCTTAAATCTCGTTACAAATCTACGAACATACAATTTTTCAATACTTAAAAGCAATATATTAAGCCACCAGTAATTGTAAACATTTTAAACATAAAATTCCAAACCCTTATATAACGTTACAAATTTAGTCAAATTTCTTTAAATGTATTAAAGACACTAGTACAACTTGTAAATTTCTCTAAAATGATTTACTTTTACACATATGTGATTTATAAAATGTATTTTTATACTTCCACTTAACCTATTACAAAGACATTAATCTTGTGAGTTATTTATTCATATTTTCATAATTTCCATCAAGATGTTCTAATCCGTTGTGTTTCTGCCAATCTTTCAAGATATCAAAAAAAAATTATGGCTATCTCAGATCAATGATGCTTTAGGAATCAGCATTATCATCCAATCAGTTTATTCTGAGGTGATTGGTCTGAACCTCACTTGGAATTTCTTGATGTGAACCTTCTTTATAAAATTAAAGTAAAATGTAATTGGATTTTACAAGCCCACATCTTTTCTTCCAATCTCCCCATTTTGCCTGTAGAATTTTGGTGAGAGAAAGTTTGCCTCAATTTATACTTATCTTATCGTGACATCCAACATATTTATTGTATGCAGGTAGGTCATCCTAAGGTTTCTTCTCCCAGTGGTTCAAGCATGGGGGTCTCTGAAGTTGCAATTTTTTTTAAAGACTACTCAAGTGCACTAGTGAGAAGGGAGGAAAATGTAGAACAAGGAATTCTATCTGTAACTGGCTGTGAACAATCAATTGAGATAACTATCTTCAGATCATCCAAGTTCCAATTTCTTCTCAGAGCATCTAGTCAATTAATCACCTTGTAATAGGCTGTAGGACTCTTCTTCTACCTGGCTATTTTGGGGGGTCAGTGGTGCTGGTCAGCCCTTTCCCGTTGATAGCACTATCTTTCTCTTGTTCAGAATTCTGTGATTTACATATGGATGCTCATTATTATTATTCTCTACTTAAAGAAAATGCATATCCTTTATAAAATGAATAGTTTTAGATATCATTAATGTTCAATATATTAATAACGTGTCAAATGTTTATTTAAATCAGACACATATTCATCCTTTTTATATTGCAGCTTTTCTTATGTAACCTTTTACATTGTAATGTACACTTTATATTTTTTATCATTAACTTAAAATTTATAAATAAGAATTATTGCAATTGGTCATATTATTTCCTTTTTTATTTCAAATATCTTGCCCTGGCCAAGACTAAACTCGTGGGTTTTCATTTTGTTTTAGAAATACTTAGCAAAGGACACAGAAAGCATAAGAGTAAAGTAATGCCAGTTTTTAACAAATTGCTTTCTTATGTTAAGAGACTTAAAACCAAAGGGGACTTAATGTATTTTCAGTAAATAAACATGTCATTGGCCATAACAAATGGTAGATTTTAGTCAATTAATAAATTACTAGACTAATAAACTATATTTTCCTGGAGCAGAAAGTAATTTTCTAAGTATAAAGGCAAAATAAATAATTCCCAATAAACTTCAAAAATTCAGTGGAATTATTTAGTAGATTCCAAAAGACAATGAAGCAACATCATCTAGAAAAATTTGAAAAAAAAATTATGGTCCAAGAATGAAGCATATATCCAGCAGTGAAACAGCATAGAGGCCCTGTCTCTCAGATATCCAAGAACTCAGAAAGCAGAGAATCAGGTAAACCGTTTCAGAAATTCACTATCAGCCCTGCTCCAGCCACTGTCAGTCAATGTCTGTCCCGTCAAATAAAACAACTGCAAAATGTGAGAGTCATGGTACGCCTGGACCAAAGGCGAAACCTGAGACAAATAAAACACACATGTGCCAAATTGAATGATCATCGTCCATCTGTATCACATAATGTCTCAAAGAAAAATCAGGAAGTAGGCGCAAAAGGGGTAAGGAAAAGTAGACTTAACGGAATTTCCACAATTTATAGGAGATAAGCATTTTCACTTGCTGCCCAGCTTCTCAGTGAAATAAGTGTATTTAATGTCCGCTCCCAAAAATGGAGTCCATTTAGGGACAGTGTCCAGGATAAGACTGGTGCCTGTCAGAGCTAATTAACTCTAGGTCTATGTAAGGAGGCCCCTTCCCAAGTTGAACAGGTGGTTTACAATGAGTATAATTATGCAAATCAGCAGTGAGATGGACATGAGCTAGTCAGGGTGAGCATATCTCAGGTTTATTCAGGAGAACAAAAGTGAGAGTGGATATTGCATTTCTTGGCCATGTAGTTCAAGCTACCGTTCTTCCACAGACACTGAAACAAGGGGACTGAGTCCATAAGGCTGCAGAACAAAACTCCCCTTAACCAAATCAATTAATTTATCCACTTCTAGGAAACAAATGACACCAGCACAGACGGCCACGCAAGGCAAAAGAACAGCAATTAGGTTCATTCAAAAGCAATAAAATATTTTAAAGATGAACTGCTATTTCCAAAATGAAACCTTTATGACAAAGCAAGCAAACCAGTTGTGACAGGCTTCACAGTAGTAACATCTGCACTGTAGGAAGGAGAGCACCCCTCCTTCTTGAGTGGGTATTTATACTCCAAAGTGATGTGTCATGCTTCACCCAGGAAGTAGAATTATGTTGCTCACCATGAGGCTGAAACCTCTATCAACCATCTCCCACTCATCCACATCTTCCTGTTTTGGAGTCTGGGAGATCAGTTATTTAAAAACAAGGGGAAAAAAGGAGGAAAGGAAGGGAGGGAGGAAGAAGAGAGGAAAAGAAAACTAATATTCAACATTGCTCCGATTTTCAGAGGAAAAAATGTTTATAATTTAAGTCAGATTTGCCTGGAAAAATATACCACCAGGAGGAAAAGGCTCAAGATCTGAAATCAGTTATTTTTTTAGTTTAGTTCTCTTCTTTTCCGAGGTACGTTGCAAGTCACCTAAAACTTTTGAGTATCTTTTTTTTCCATTTATACCTGTAGGGGTACACACTACTTATTTCTACAGCCTAATTAATAGGATTGCAGAGAGTTTCAGATATAATATGCACAGCAAGTACTTTCTAAATTATAGCTTTGTATTAGGTTAAATATGCTTATGAGTTATTTTATGTGATCTATAATATAACAATGTTAGTATAATTTTACCAATTATATTTGCTGTATTAAATATATATTAACTGTTACATTGGTGATTAATATCAATTGATAATATAATTCTATAATACATATATTATTAAAAGTTAATAACAATAAATTATTCCTTTCTTACTGGAACAAAGGAAGAAATGTAATACCCTGAGGAATTTTATTTCCAATAAGATACTTCCAGTATAGTCGTCCCGATGAATGACAGCCTTGTCATTTTCGTTGTGATCAATCTGCTCTGTGATCAGTGAAACACCAGCCTGCTTTTCTGCGAAAGGGTTTCAGATGATGAAACACTTATGAACTTGATGACTCTCCCTGAAGAGCAGCTGATGCTGCCGAGTCTAACACGTGCGGTCCTGGGACGACAAACTTGAAGAATGATGCTGTCCACAGGGACCCCTCACAGGGCTGTGGTGGCCTCCATGGGAGCAGTCCTGGGGGAGTCTCTCTGGCCTTTGTTGAATGGTAGGGCCTGATTCTATAGACTTTTCCAATTGCCTAACTCCTCTAACCCTCCAAATGAAAACAAGCATCTACTAATGGCAAACAGACTTCACCAGACTGTTTCCTTGAAGACAACTTCGCTCACAGGTCAAACCATTGCATCATCTTGCCATGAGGGAAAAGAGTGAAACGAACCTGAATTAGACAATTGATAACACATTTAATAGAGTATATTCTTCCATTTATTTATTGGTTTTCTTAGTAATAACTGTAGAAAATTTTAAAACTAAGTATTATTATAAAAAGGAGAAATAACAACACATACTATAAAAAGCCAAAGATAACTAGAGTTTGAATTTTTCTTGCTTTTAGGCAGGCATTTTCATGTGATTTTCTTTATAGAATTTTGTATCCATTTGTCTTTGAAAATATGACATTTTAAACCAAAGTGTTTGCATTTGAGTGTCCATAAAATGTAAAACTTATTTGTTATTTCTAATTTCTTATTTATCTCAAACAATTGTGCATAGGAAACTTTTTAATTATGAAAATGGACATTCGTGATTGATATCGCTTTGTTAAATGTATAAACCCTTTTAACTGAAATTTTCATCAGAAGATAGGGTTATTGCTGAAAATTTGAAAAGCATTGAATAATGTAAATAATACAAAATAACATTTTTTACTTTTAACCCTTAGAAGCACCAATTTAGGAATAATGTAACATTTCCCTCCAGGATGTGTTTGGAGACAACTGATATATCCAAAAATTTGGTTTTTGCATTTCAAACAGAAGATTATAGAATGGCCTTTACACTGTAGCATATGACTTTGAAATAATTAATGTAGAACATTGGCTGAGTAAACACATTATATGACCTCCCTGTGTCTTAAGTCTTCAGGGTGTTTTTCACGTTTTGTAACATGAGTGATATTTCAATAAACAGTTCTCTGTTCAATGTGTTTATTTTGGTGGAATTACAAATTTGAAATTCCAGGTGTGATGGTCAGAGGATCTATACCTCTTAGAACATTCCACTAAATGACTTTCCAAAATGTAACCACTATTAAAAGTTTTATAGTTATGGCCGGGAGCGGTAGCTCACGCCTGTAATCCCAGCACTTTGGGAGGCCAAGGCGGGTGGATCACGAGGTCAGGAGATCGAGACCATCCTGGGTAACACAGTGAAACACCGTCTCTACTAAAAATATTAAAAAATTAAAAATTAGCTGGGCGTAGTGGCGGGCGCCTGTAATCCCAACTACTCAGGAGGCTGAGGCAGGAGAATGGTGTGAACCTGGGAGGCGAGGCCTGCAGTGAGCCGAGATGGCACCACTGCACTCCAGCCTGGGCGACAGAGCGAGACTCTGTCTGGAAAAGAAAAAAAATTATAGTTATTTATGGTCCCAAAACAACACATTCGTTATAAAAAATTTACAAATACAAACTTCAAGGAAGGAATAATCTACAGAAATTGAATGTGCCATTGAATATTCTAGTGTTTTATACTAAAAAGTGTATCAAACGTACTTTACCATGTGAGTGTTATTAACATCAGTCCACCTCCAAAAAGTGTGTGCATGTCACATGAGGATACGTTCCAAGCACACGGAAAGTGTTCAGTGATTGATCCAATCAGTAGTCATGCAGAGTAGGTGCTAATAAACACTACCCCGAGTGAGGATGCAGACACGGAGACGCAAAGGGCATAGGGGAATTTCCCCAAGTCAGACAGATGAGTAACAGGGCAGCTGGACTCAAGACAGACTGATAAGTAACAGGACAGCTGGACTCAAGAACGTGCTTCTAGAACCACAATGCTGCACTAACTCCTAATTGCAATTCCTGGTAACAGCTGAAGGATCTTCTGATTATATTGTAGTCCGTATTTAGTAGACTTTTTAGAAAATAAACAGACAAAAAATGCAAAAGTCATTAGCGTACAGCTCAAGTAGTCTTTGGAAACTGAACTCACCACAGCCTGCCCACAGATGCACAATCAGAAGTGAGTTAGCCCCCACGTAGACCCCCAGCCTGCATCCCAATACCCTCCCCAAAGAAACTGTGACTCTGCCTTCCTATAAAGTAGTTTTGCCTGGATTTGAAATTTATGTAAATAGAGTCACAAAACATGCACTCTTTCATGCCTACCTTCTTTTACTAAACATTATGTAAGATTCAAGCACATTTACAGGTAGTTATGTTGGTGGTTTTTTCATTCTTACTCTGTATTGTATGCTCTAAGAACAAAGAACAATTTGTTTATTTTGTTGTTCATGGCAACTTGTTTTCTATCTATGGCTATTATAAATAATACCCTGTGATCATTTTTAATTTGAAATTCACAACTTAAGAAGAGATAATCAGCACACCTTTACATCCACTAATAACACACAGATTGCATAGTACAAGCTAAAAGGATAACGCAAAAAAACAATACCACAGCTAAACTGACCATTTTGACTTTTATTAATTGGAGAAATTTATTGTAAATCATTTAAGTTTTATAAAACTATATACTTTTAAAAATATATATTAACCACTACAAAAAATTTATTCAGTAAAATATTTCACCTACATTTTAAAACATGTATTTTGGTAAACACATGTTTGCATTTCTGTTGCATATATAACCAGGAGTGGGATATCTGGGTCATAGATGGGCACATATTCAGCTCTATCAGATACTATCAAACTGTTTTCCAGAGGTTTTATCAATTTATAGTCTCATTAGCAGTTATTTTAATCATCATAACCACACTGACAGATGTGCTATTTCATTGTGGTTTTAAAGTGTCATTTTTTGACAACTAGCCAAGTTGAAAACCTTTTCATACATTTATTGGAATGTACATTTTGTACATTTATTGGAATAATTTATTGGAATCATGGCTATCATATTTGTAAATTCCCATTCTAGTCTTTTGCCATTTTTAAGTGGATTTTCTGCTTCTTTATTGATTTGTAGGAATTTCTTCTATGTGTTCTATATGAATCCTTCATACATATATCTATTTATAAATATTTCCTTGTTTTCTATGGGTTGCTTTTTTACAATATTAATTTTTTAAAATAAATTTTAATTTAATGAAGTCCAACTTACTATGTTTTCCTTTAGTGTTAGCACTTTTGTTTTCTGTTTAAGAAATACTTGCTTACCTCATCATTATAATGTGTTGTTCTATATTTTCTTCTAAGAGATTATTTTACCTTTTATATTTCAATCTATACAGCCCATCTGAAATATATTTTCTTATCCTGTAGTGTAGGGATCAATATTCATTTTTTCCATGTGGATTGTGCAGTGGAGTCAGAACTATTAAAAGCATCCTGCATTTCCCACTCTGAGTGGTTGCCCTGGTCATAAATCCAATGTACATGTAGGTGTTGATCCATTTCTAGGCTTTATTTTCTGTTCCATCTGTTCATTTGACAATTTGCACAGATACCATGCCGTATAAATTGGTATAGTTTTAAAGTAAAGCACATGGAAATTGGCTGCCACCAGCAAGGAATGGTGGTATCTGTGAGAGGAGTTGACATTTGAAGAGTAACTCCCAGGGCTTTGTTTGAGAGTGCTAATTTAGAAGAGTACAAAGAATGGCTGGAAATAATGTGTTAATATCCACCACTGGGAGCACTAACTTGGCTGACTCTTCCATTTTCAATGCTAAAATTTACTGAAACCTCCAAGGAAAACTCATACTTCACATTTTGAAGAATAAATGCCTCAGATGGAAGAGAGTGATATTGATTCAAGAACCTGGAAAACAAAAACTTATAAGAGGCATGAAGACTATTAATATAATGGAAGTCTTTGTTATGAAGATAAAGTTGTCTTGGAAAATCACATGAAACAATAAAAAGTGTTATTAATATGGAAATTAAAATGTGCTGTGTGAAGGAGTCAGTGGATGAATTTGAAGGTTTGGATTCTCCGGAATTTGAAAATTTATTCATGGTCTTGAACTTTAGGGTTTCACTTTTAATGACCTGTGCAAGGCTGAGTGTAGAGTTAGTGCAGCACCAGTTGTATTCAATTGTTCACATAAAGGAATGAATGTTCTAAAAGCAGTGACAACCCAGTAGCAATGAATGAGCACACGGAGTGCCTAGATCTTGGTTTCTAAATGCTAATGGTAGTTTGTATTTCTGTGGGATCAGTGGTGATATCCCGTTTATCATTTTTCATTGTGTCTATTTGACTCTTCTCTCTTCTTTATTAGTCTAGCTAGTGGTCCATCTATTTTGTTAATCTTTTAAAAAAAAAACCCAGTTCCTGGATTCATTGATTTTCTGAAGGGATTTTCGTGTTTCTATTTCATTCAGTCTTGCTCTCATCTTAGTCATTTCTTGTCTTCTGCTAGCTTTTGAGTTTGCTCTTGCTCCTCTAGTTCTATTAATTGTGATGTTAGGGTGTCAATTTTAGATCTTTCCAGCTTTCTGTTATGGGCCTTTAGTGTTATAAATTTCCCTCTTAACAGTGCTTGAGCTGTGTGTCCTAGAGATTCTGGTATGTTGTGTTTTGTGCTCATTTGGTTTCAGATAAATTATTTCTGCCTTAATTTTGTTACTCAGTCATTCAAGAACAGGTTGTTCAGTTTCCATGTAGTTGTGCGGTTTTGAGTGAGTTTCTTAATCCTGAGTTCTAATTTGATAGTACTGCGATTTGAGAGACGGTTACGGTTTCCATTCTTTTGGAATTGCTGGGGAGTGTTTTACATCCAGTTATGTGGCCAATTTTAGCATACATGCTATGTGGCACTGAGAATGTATGTTCTGTTCATTTGGGGTGGAGAGTCCTGTAGGTGTCTGTTCAGTCCGCTTGGTCCAGCCTCTCTTACCACTCCTATTCAACATAGTATTGGATGTTCTGGCCAGAGCAATCACGCAAGAGAAATAAAGGTATTCAAATAGGAAGAGAGAAAGTCAAATTTTCTGTTTGCAGAGGACATGATTGTATATTTAGAAAACCCCATCGACTCACCCCCAGAACTCAAGCTGATAAGCAACTTCAGCAAAGTCTCAGGATACAAAATCAATGTGCAAAAATCACAAGCAATCCTGTACACCAACAATAGACAAGCCAAGAACAAAATCATGAGTGAACCCCATTCACAATTGCTACAAAGAATAAAATACCTAGCAATACAATTTACAAGGGATATGAAGGGCCTCTTCAAGGAGAACTACAAACCACTACTTAAGGAAATAAGAGACAACACAAACAAATGGAAAAACATTCCATGCTCATGGATAGGAACAATTAATATCGTGAAAATGGCCATACTGCCCAAAGTAATTTTAGATCCAATGCAATTCCCATCAAGCTACTAATGACTTTCTTCACAGAATTAGGAAACTATTTGAAATTTCATATAGAACCAAAAAAGAGCCAGTAGAGCCAAAACAATCCTAAGCAAAAAGAAGCTGGGGGCATCACACTACCTAAATTCAAACTATACTACAAGGCTACAGTGACCAAAACAGCATGGTACCTGTACCAAAAACAGATATATAGACCAATGGAACAGAACAGAGACCTCAGCAATAACACCACATATCTACTACCATCTGTTCTTTGATAAACCTGATACAAACAAGCAATGGGACAAGGATTCCCTATTTAGTAAGTGGTGCTGGGAAAACTGGCTAGCCATATGCAGAAAACTGAAACTGGACCCATTCCTTACACATTATACAAAAATTAACTCAAGATACATTTAAATCTTTAACTTAAAACCCAAAACCATAAAAACCCTAGAAGAAAACCTAGTAATACCATTCAGGACACAGGGATGGACAAGGACTTCATGACTAAAACACCAAAAGCAATTGCAACAAAGCCAAAATCAACAAATGGGATTTAATTAAACTAAAGAGCTTCTGCACAGCAAAAGAAACTATCACCAGAGTGAACAAGAGACCTACAGAATGGGGGAAAATTTTTGCAAGCTACCCATCTGACAAAGGTCTTGTATCCAGAATCTACAAGAAAGTTAAACAGATTTACAAGAAAAAACAATCCCATCAAAAAGTGGGTGAAGGGTATGAACAGACACTTCTCAAAAGACATTTATGTGGCTATTAAACATGGAAAAAAGCTCATCACTGGTCATTAGAGAAATGCAAATCAAAACCACGATGAGATACCATCTCACGCCAGTTGGAATGGTGATTATTAAAAAGTCAGGAAACAACAGATGCTGGCAAGGCTGTGGAAAAATAGAAATGCTTTTACACTGTTGGTGGAAGTGTAAATTAGTTCAGTCATTGTGGAAGATAGTGTGGAATTCCTCAAGGATCTAGAACCAGAAATACCATTTGACCCAGCAATCTAATTGCTAGGTATATACCCAAAGGATTAGAAATCATTCTACTATAAAGACACATTCACACATATGTTTATTGCAGCACTATTTACAACAGCAAAGACTTGGGACCAACCAAAATGCCCATCAATGATGGATTGGATAAAGAAAATGTGGCACATACACACCCTGGAATACTATGCAGCCATGAGTTCATGTCCTTCGCAGGGACATGGATGAAGCTGGAAGCCATCATTCTCAGCAAACTAACACAGAAACAGAAAACCAAACACCGCATGTTCTCACCCGTAAGTGGGAGTTGAACAGTGAGAACACATGGACACAGTGAGGGGAGCATCACACACTGGGGCCTGTTGGGTGGTGGTGGGGGAAGGGGAGGGAGAGCATTAGGAAAAATACCTAATGCATGTGGGGCTTGAAACCTGGATGATGGGTTAATGGGTGCAGCAAATCACCATGGCACATTATACCTATATTATACCTGTGTAACAAACCTGCACATTCTACACATGTATCCCAGAACTTAAAGTAAAATTTAAAAAAGCTCTAGAGTCTTTGTGTGGTGTTAAACCATATCTCTAAACAAAATGATACTAAACAAAATTTAAAAATACTAATATGTGTGATTTGTTGTTTGCAACTTTCTCTCGTGTTCATACTCCCAACGTGGGTAAATTCAGGTTGCTAATATGATGTCACTGACCACACAGTTGGGAAAGGATATGAATAATCATATCTCACCAGCTAGTGCAAGCTGGCCCCAGCACAACACTGCAGAAATGTTAGAACAGAGACTACTTCCAGGAGGAGAAAATAAGGAGGGTTAACAGGACAAAATAATAGGAATAAATTTCTGAGGTGAGAAATGACACCTGTCTCAAATCCAAAAGGTATGGTATAGATACTAAACTGGGTAAATGAACCCAACATTTTTATTTTATTATTATTACTTTATATTTTTGAGACAGTCTTGCTCTGTCACTTAGGCTGGAGTGCAGTCGCACGATCTCACTGCAACCTCTGCCTCCTGGGTTTAAGCGATTATCCTTCCTCAGCCTCTGAAGTAGCTGGCATTACAGGCTGTGCCACCACGTCCAGCTAATTTTTGTATTTTAGTAGAAACTTGGTTTCACCATGTTGGCCAGGCTGTTCTTGAATTCCTGACCTCAAGCGATCCACCCCGCCTTGGCCTCCCAAAATGCTGGGATTACAGGTGTGAGCCACTGTGCCTGACCAACAGTAGCTGTTTTTTTCTGCTTCTCTCTTTCCTCCCACCCTCCATCCTCTAGTGGGATCCAGTGTCTGTTGTTCCCCTTTGTGTCCTCATCATTTAGCTCCCACTTACAAGTGAGAACATGCAATATTTGGTTTTCTGTTCCTGTGTTAGTTTGCTAAGAATGATAGCCTCCAACTTCGTCCATGTTTCTGCAAACAACATGATCTCATTCTTTTCATGACTGCATAGTATCGCATGATATATATGTATCACATTTTCTTTATCCAGTCTACCATTGATGGGCGTTTAGGTCGACTCTATGTCTTTGCTATTATGAACAGTGCTGTTATGAACACATGCAAGTATGTGTCCTTATGATAGAACAATTTATGTTCTTTTGGGTATATACCAAGTAATGAGACTGCTGAGTCGAATGCTAGTTCTGTCTTTATATCTTTGAGGAATTGCCATAGTGTTATTCACAATGATTGAACTAATTTACACTCCCACCACCAGTGCATATGTTCCCTTTTCTCTGCAATCTCATCAACATGTTATTTTTTGACTTTTTGATAATAGTCACGCTGACAGGTGTAAGATGGCTTCCCAATGTGGGTTTGATTTTCATTTCTCTAATGATCACAGATGTTGAGATTTTTCTCATATGCTTCTTGGCCACAAGAATATCTTCTTTTGAAAAGTGTCTGTACATGTCCTTTGCCTACTTTTTAATTTTTTTCTTGTAAATTTAAGTTTCCTATAGATACTGGACATTAGACCTTTGTCAGATGCATAGTTTGTAAATATTTTCTCCCATTCTGTAAGTTGTCTGTTTATTCTGTTGATAGTTTCTTTTGCTGTGCAGAAGCTCCTTAGTTAGATTCCATTTGTCAGTTTTTGCTTTTGGCATCTTCATCATGAAATCTTTGCCCATTCTTATATGCTGAAAGGTATTGCCTGGGTTGTCTTCTGGGGTTTCTAGAGGTTTGGATTTTGCATTTAAGTCTTTAATTCATCTTGAGTTGATTTTTGTAAATGGTGTGAGGAAGTGGTCCAGTTCTAATCTTTTGCATATGAGTAGCCAGTTTTCCCAGTACCATTTATTAAATAGGGAGTCCTCTCCCCATTGCTTATGTTTTAAGCTTTGTCAAAGATCAGATGGTTGTTGGTTTGTGGCCTTGCTTCCGAGTTCTCTATTCTGTTGCTCTATGTGTCTGTTTTTTGGACAAGTGCCATGCTGTTTGGTTACTGTATAATCTTGATGTGGTCCCAAAATGGGAGGAAGTGCAATATGCTCCACCTGGAGAGGGAGATGGAGAATGCCAAAGATTTCTGGAGAGGTGGACTAAGGCAGACCCTAGAGGGCTTGGTAGGGACGATAATCATTTCTACCACACAGTGTTGTTAAAAGATTCAGATGCAAAATCTCCCATAAATCATAGCAGGAACTACACAATCCATAAAAAGCAACCTAGTAAGATTTCAGTGAGTAGGCTACTAATTAATCAGTATGTTTCCCCTAAGCCAGCAAAAACCAATTCTAAAACAGAGTGAGAAGAAACCTACTCCAGAAAGCGAGCATAGAAATACAGGTCTAGAATTAAAGGTTCACAACATGTGCAATATCTGTGGTGAAGCATCATCACACTCTTCAAATTGGACAAAGACAGCTGGATGGAAGTCTCTACATGGTACACAGGTAGATTTCACTTAAAATAGTACAAAAATCCCAATATGACCTTTATCAAGCTTTGTTGATTTATTATTCTTGTTATGCTGGTTCTATTGTTCATACCTCCCAATTCTGTGAGCTGCTGTACGAAAAATAAAGCGTCTCCGTGCTAAAAGAAAAAAGCCAAAGAACAAGGCGGCCTCCACACTTCTACCATCTAAATCTCCTCACGTGCACCTCATCAATAGAACCTAAATTACTGGTGAATCTCAGATACCATGGAGTTTGTATACATAGATTTTAGTTTTCCAGCTTTACCAGTCAAAAGACATATGAAGAAGTTGGGATGAAAACAAGCAAGCCAACTACAGTATCCTCGGCTTCTGCAACACACATTTAGGTTTTGCCTTTACTTCAATACCCTTTCTCTTTCAATAGGTCTGTCCGTTCAATTTATGCAAATTATGCAATTTCAATTTATGGAAATTAGAAATGGTTGGTCTCTTTTCTGACACCTTATTTTTGCTATGCTTCCTTTTTTAACTTTTTATTTCTCCCCATGTATAGTTAATTATGTGTTTGTGTTTGAGAGCTCGGTTTTTAAAATTAAAATTTTTTACTTTTTCATTTTATTCATTTTTTCCAACCTCAGAAGAGCACATTGTTCTTTTAGATCTTTGGATTACTCTTATATTTCAAATAATATGCTCAAATGTCTAGTTTTTCCACAATCTAATTACTATTTAAGTACATTTACACATTTGCCACTCTCTCCACCATGCACTCAATTTTAGTTTTTCAGTTACATTATTCCTCTTAAAACCTTTTAGCATATCCCTATACTTTAATCATATAATTATATCCGTATTAACTGATTCATCAAGTATAAATTGTAAAGAGGTTGGTCTGCCAAGGAAGGTATGGATTTTGTGAAGATATAAAAGAAAATAAAAGACATGTAAATACTGGTAGAAGGAGACATCTTTATTAGTCATTTCCACATCCATCTCCCCAGTTTCTAGATTTTTTTATATTGTTATCACAGTCTATATTGTCTCAGTTTGTTACATTTCTATTTTAGTCATACCTTCATTTACTTATTCATATAGAGTCATTTTCTCATGTGTTTTTATTAAATGCTTTTACATATTATCAGGAACCTTTCCATTATAGTTTCTCCAGGCATCCTTTGGTGGGTTAAGGTTTGTCCTCAACCTGTTTTATTGTGATGTATATATGTGGCTATTCTACTTTTCCTTTCTCTTAAATCTTAAAGAATGGCTTTGTTTTTTAAAAGATATTCCACTAAAATATTGTTAAGTATTGCTC